>NC_000004.12:138012290-138315320 GCF_000001405.40 Homo sapiens
AGTTTAAAATGTAAATATAATCAATCATGTAAGTGGTGTCATACATTTAAAATTTTAATCTTTCAGTATAATTGAGTTAATTTAACAATGATCAAAAAATAAAAAAAATTTTTAATATTTTTGTAAAAGTTAGCAGATTTGTAAATTAAAAACAAATCACATGTTATAGTTAAACTTGAGAAAAGTAGTTATTAAAGTCTATAGCTTTACTAAGCTGACTAGTAATTTAAACACATATGATGCAAATAATCATTTAACATGCAAACTTTCTACTCAGACATTAGAAACGTAATTGAAAGGCTGTCTTTGGTTGTAGTACATACCCAGTAAAAACACAAATATGGATATTATTTTTGCAAATAATTTGAAATCAAATTATCAACTATGTTTTAAATCCAATTTTATGAGGCTTAGAAGCTGGCTTATTGACTGAAGACGTCAATAAAAGCATCCTAATGTGAAGAAATCAAACCCAGATATAGTAAATACTTTATATATCAGAGATCACCTATAAATAAACAGCAAGCTAAATGTATTTTGGACCGCAAAGGCCATATGAACTTGGGCTACAAATTCACATGAGGACTGCCTTGTAAATTTTTCATGCAATTATTTCATGGGAAATAATTTTCCTCCATTTGAAAAAGAGAGGCCAGGTTCTCTCCTGCCTCTCTTTGAGGAGTGGGCCCCCTTCTAATTCGCTCTTTCACTGAGGATGTAACACTTTGGGCCTTATTGCATGTCTCCTGGCTGACTCCCTTGTTGTATGGGTCTAGGTTTTGCCTCATGTAACTCACACCCCATGTGGCTATCAAAACAGAAGTACAAGGTGACAGGGGATTATAGATTCTCTCATTTTTAACTGCTTATCTTCCTAGATTCCCACGTTCAATTTTATTTTTTAGCATTAAAGGAGATTTCCTACTTTTACAAAAGGTTGGAAATGCAATTAAAATACAGTTCTAAAAAAAATACAGTTTAAAAGTACTGGTCCACCATACTTCCACATTATTTTTAAGATAAGCAATTTAGTTATCACCACATTCCAACTATAAAATTATAATCATACTAAACTAAAAATTGGAAGTAGATAACACCAGTCACCCAACCAAAAAATATAAATAAATGAATTTCCATAAATTTTTCAAAAATATTTTTTCATAATCAGAAATTTAAAAGTTGATGAATTTTTGTTACTTGCTATTATTTTTTCATTACAGCAAATTTGACTCAACATTATTACAATGACAGCTTTCATAGGTCAAATAAGAAAGGGAGTAAAAAGAGAATTACAAATTTCAAAATGTGCTTTGGATATTTTGACAAATTTTAAGAAAAAAGACAAAAGTCGCTTTATTAAGTTTTTTTCTAGTAAGTAATTACTGAGAAAATGGATAGTTGATTTTTACTGATGATGCTTTTATGTATAGGAAAACACAACTCAATATCTATATAGATATTGCTCTTAGAAGCCAGCTTATCTAAATTATTCAGCCTCAATCTATATTTGTAAAGCAATTACGAATATATCTAACTCGGCAAAAAAACATTTTACTCTTTTCTGAAATTACAAGGGCAATATGTTATAATGGGAAACTTCAGCAGGAGAAAATGGTTGATATTTGTCATTACTTCTCCAGAGTCTTAGCTATGAGACCTTGGCAAGCCATTCAAACTTCTCAGGACTCAGTCATCCCATTTAACATATAGGATTAATTGATTGCCACCTTGAGGCCAGGAAGAGAGAGGATTAATGGAAATTTCTTGAAAATTTTAGGCTAATAATGTGGCACAGTCATTTTTCTTTTATTTTCTTTCTCTCTCTCTGTCTTTTTTACTGCCCTCCCCCACCTGCCACATATTTCAGATTCTCTCAGCTGTATAGTAGTGTCTTAATGTGACTGCACTGTCTTCAGGACACATTTTAGTCTACAATGAAATAATCACACACTTACAAACACTGACTTTGCAAAATAACAACGCAGCTAAAGGCAAATGTGGAGATGAGCTTAAAATGAATTTCAGTTACTTAAGTTGATGTCAATCATCCTCTAATGCAGAAAGAAAAAAAAATTAACCAACAGTTACGACAGACTTCAAATATCAAGAAAAATTATGGCCAATGGTCTAAGGGCCTTCTTGGACTCCAGAGAGAAACAAAAAATGCAGTTAGGAGACTGAATGAAGACATTTGGAGAAGAGATAATACAACCATATTATTCTGTGTTCTAAGAATATATTTTATATTCAAGTCTTCTGCATTATGGAGTCTTATTCTTGGACTTCTTACAGCTAACATTCCAAATAGAAAACCCTGGATATCGTTAGCTTTCTTGAGTAGTTGAGTTTACATTTCATTGCCTTCTCAATTCATTACACAGAGCAATTTTACTTAGCCAAAAATTATTTTTACAGTGTTTTTGTAAAAAGTCTAACTACTAGGGAATATGCAATGACTGCTTATAGCTACAGTCCTGGCTCATGATTTATTTTACAAGTCTTTCCTCACAGTTCTTCGCTAAATGGACATTCTTTGTGTTTTATTACAAGTTTCTTCCATTGCATCATGCTCTCGGTGGGATGGTGTGCCTATATTTTATTTTACTCCCGCCATTAATTACCTGTGGGCCTATATCATGTCTCCCTAAGACCCATTTATTATAATGGTGCCTGCTGGTGTCCCTGCAGCTAGCAGTCTGTCAGCATTTCCATTAGAAACCCCATTTCACAGGGGCTTAAAATTCAGCTGTAAAATTGTGCTTTAGGCTGTACATGTTTAAAGTACATGGTATGAGCTATGAAACTCCTTATTTTTAGCTCCAACAAGACAAATTTGCATAAAAAGCTGTTTCAAAATTGATGTGCATGTAGGCTCTAATTTTTGTGGAAACAAGTAACGTGTTTTTCTACGAACAATCTTATAAAATATGTATGTTTATATTTTATTCTTCTCAAAATGGACACATATTTCTGCATGGTTTATAGGAAAATTAGTACAATCTAGGTGACAGGTGTGCTTTCATGTTTCTTTGTTTCTTTAATTTTATTAAAAATACATATGACTGCTAACTTTTTAAAGATTTTGAAATGTGTATTCATTCATGGAGAAAACAAAATATTGTATTGACAATATAAAGCTGAATTTTAAAATTTTTTTGAGAGTTATCTATGGAGTTGTTCATTGCCCAGTATTCAAAGATGAATGTTATTTACCATAGGAAATACTTTGGAATTAAGAAATCATAAGTGTCTAAAGAGTTATCATCCCAAGAAATCCTAAAATTACCCCTTTCTTTGGTATGACATGGGTATGGGATACAGATAAAATACAGGAAGCCCAGTTAAATATTAATTTCAAATAAAAAATATTTTAGTATAACTATATCCCAAATATTGCAGGAGAAATATTGATACTAAAAATGTTTATATTTTGTGTTTATCTGAGATTCTTACTTAACAGAGTATCCTGTATTTTTATTAGCTAAATCTGGCAACCATAGAGATCAGCAACTATTTTCACATTCTTCACGCTAAAATTAGAATTCAGTGTTATAGAACATCTGAGTAATAAATGAATAGGAAATAATGTTTGCTCTCTTAAAATATTGCATAGGCTATAAAAACACTTCCTCAAGAGTAAGTTTTTCATTAAAAAATATTCTTATATATATAAATCAAAGGGAAATAATATGACCAAGGGAAAAATAGAGAGGCATCTTTAATGGAAAGAGGTTCCCTAAGAATGAAAATGGAGACATCTGGACTCAAAGACACTAAGGGAAGGAAAGATACTGACAAAAAAAATAAAATGTCATATCTAAATCAGTAGTGCCTCTTATGAACTCTATCCTAAATCTTTGACTTAATTCTGAAGTACACAATTACTAAATACATTTAAGTACTTTGATTCATAAAATTAACTCGGTAAAAAAAGACCACATTTAAAAATAAATTTCAAAATATTTGGCTCATTCATGCAACCAATAAAAGTTTAAATTTCAAAATATTTGGCTCATTCATGCAACCAATAAAAGTTTTTAAACAACTTCAAGAGGCTGGATGAAAATGAATGGAACTAGTAGCTGGGTGAATTGCTAAGAAATTAATTGGGAATAGGGGACTGAAAGAGTTGTGTTGTCACAGCAGTAGTAGGAATGAAGGTAGTCATAAAACAATGTCTTCAGTAAGAATTAATTATACAGCTAAAACAAGAATATTCACATAGGACAGCATAATACAAGGGGAGGATGAATGACTTATGAGAAGGAACTTGTTTTTTAGCTAGTTAGATGGGCTATAATTGAACAAAACATAAACATTTCAAAACATGGGTGAATTCATGAGAAGGGAGTTTTCTGAATGTGTATGTGTAGGGAAAAAAGAAAATAAAATCATATATATAAAAGAAACTATAATAAATATTAAGTGAATATGAATGTAGGAGTCAAATGTATATGATAAGAAATAGCTCAGGCTTTTCAGAACTTAAAACATAGTTGAAGCTGCAAGACATGAAATAATTCAAAAGTATATCTCACCATGTACTTTATGTCACAAGGTGAAGTTGTTTTTCAAATTGCTTTTTAAATTGTTCTCTTTGCTTGTAACTACTATTGAACTTCTTCAGCTATCACTGAATATCTTCACTTGTAACAAATTCTCACATTTTAAGAGTGGATTTGATTTTTTTGATTGTGGTAAAATATGCATAATGTAAAATTTACCATTTTATATGTTACAACTCAATGACATTAAATATATTCACAATGTTGTATAATCATTGCCACTATCTATTTCCAGAACTTCATCATCCCAAACAGAAACTCTTTACCCCATTAAACATTGATTCCCCATTCTCCTCTCCTTCTGGCCCCTGTTAACCTGTCTACTTTCTGTCTCTGAATTTACTTATTGTTGCTACCTCATATATGTGGAATCATACAAAATTTGTTTTTTTATGTCTAGTTTATTTCACTTAGCACAATGTTTTAAAGTTTCATCATGTTGTTGTAACGTGTCAGAATTGCACTGCTTTTTATGAGTGAATGATATTCCAAATTGTTCATATTCTACATTTTGTTTATTCATTGATCTGCTGATGGACATTTGTGTTGTTTCCACCTATTGGCTATTGTGAATAATGCTAGTGTAAGCATTAGTGTGCAAGTATCTGTGTCCCTGCTTTTGATTCATTTGGGTGTATACTTAGGATGAAATTACTGGATTATATGGTAAAGCTATGTTTAATTCTTAAAGAGCTATCAGTTTTTTTCCATACTGGTTGCATCATTGCACATCTTGACCAACACTAAATGAGTTTTAATTTCCCCTTACACTAACCAAAATTTATTCTCTGATTATTTATCACACTCATCCTAGCAAGTCTGAAATGATATCTCATTGTAATGAAAGTGCGCCCATGATACACAGAGCGAAGGGTGGAAGACTTACTTATTCAAGGCATTTAAGAAAATATCTGCCCAATCATTACGTGAAAACTAAACTGAGCAGAGAATTCAGTGATGGCATACAACCAAAAATTCAGTCTTTACAATATTCCTGTAAAGTCAGAAAAAAAAAAAACAGCTAAATAACAAGAACAAAACAGCAACAAACACAAACCTGAGGGAAGGGCATCTGAGCTCCAGAGCTGTCACTATTATCTTATTTGTCTAGTTTGTACCAAACAAATATAAGCCATGAGAGAAAAACACATACAAAAAACCCAGGAAGGTATAGCACATAGAATGTTGTGCTTTTGTAAATATAACAACAGAACTTTATCTAAATTGACTGAGAAAAATCAAATTAGTAAAATCAGTAATGAAGGACATTTCTAATGACCTTATTAAATGTATACATATATTAAAACATCACATTGTACCGCATAAATATGTAAAATTATTGTTTGTCACTTGGACCAGATGGTGTGGTTGTGAATTCTACTAAACCTTTAAAGAAGAATTAATATCAATACAATATTTACTTTGGCTATCAAAATACAGAAAGAGATGAATCATGAGAAAAAAATCTAAACTACAGAAAAATATCCCTTATGAAGACAAATATAAACATCCTCACAAAATTTTAACAGAATCCAACACAGTCAAAAAAGATTGAACACAATCTGTTTTTTATGCCAGGAATACAAGGTTGCTTTAACATTTGAAAATTAATGTACCACACCATATTAACAGAAAAGGCGACAAAAACCACACGATCATCTCAGTAAATGTGGAAGAATTTGAAAAGTCCAACACCTCTTCTTGAAAACATCTATGAAATTCCACAAATAATCATATTTCATGGTGAAAAACAAATGAATGTTTCTCTGCCAAGATCAGAAACAACTCAAGATGTATGGTCTCATCACTTACATTAAATTTTATACTGGAGGTTCTGGTAATAGAGGCAGGAGGCAGAGAACTCTCCTAGGCAGACATGGGAGGGTCCCCGGAGAGCCTTCAACCCACCCAGGTCATTGTACAATGGGGGCTTGCCTAAACACGCCCATGGTGAAAAATTCCATCCCTTAACACATGCACAATAAGGGAAATAAATCAATGTGGAGTGGCTCAAACAACGGGCCCACATGTGCATTGGAAGGACAGGGTGGTGCCACCCGAAATTCGCACCTTATGCAAGGGAGGAGCCTGGCCTTTTCAGCTCACGCGTGGAAATACTGTATTCCATCGTGAAGGGGAAACCTGCTTGGAGAGCCCCTCTATTTGCTGAGAGTTTTCCTTTTGCTTAATAAATTGTCCTTCTCACCCTTCAATGTGTCTGTGTGCCTAATTTTTCCTGGTTATGAGACAAAAATCCAGATTCAGCTGAACTAAAGAGCAAAAATGCCACATCACTAGGGAGGAAAATCAAGCAAGAAAGTAAAATAAGAGGCATCCGTATTGAAAAGAAAGAAATAAAATTAACTCTATCTGTACAGAATGTTATCTTGTATACAGGAAATCCAAAGGCATGAACAAAAGAACTATCAAAATACATTAACAAATTCATCCATATTGTGGGATAAAAGAACAGTATACCAACAAAATCTGTCATATTTGAATACAGAGCAATGGGCAATCCAAAATGAAATTTAAAACATGTTTGTTTATCAAAAAGAAACATTTTAGAAATAAATTTAACAAAACATGAGCAAGACTTGTACATTGAAAATGACAAAACATTATTGAAAGAAATTAAAGACATCAATAGAAACACTTCTCATGTTTACAGATACAAAGCATTCAGGCCGGGCACGGTGGCTCATGCCTGTAATCCCAGCACTTTGGGAGGCCGAGGCGGGCAGATCAGGAGGTCAGGAGATCGAGACCATCCTGGCTAACACAGTGAAACCCCGTCTCTACTAAAAATACAAAAAATTAGCCGGGCGAGGTGGCAGGCACCTGTAGTCCCAGCTATTCGGGAGGCAGAGGCAGGAGAATGGCGTGAACCCCGGGGGGCGGAGCCTGCAGTGAGCCGAGATTGTGCTACTGCACTCCAGCCTGGGCGACAGCGAGACTCCGTATCAAAAAAAAAAAAAAAAAAAAAAAAAAAAAGCATTCATATTATTAAGATAGTTGTTCTCCTCAAATGCAATTTCTGGTGCAATGCAATTCCTATCATAATCCTAACTGCCTTTTTCTTTAAGAAATTGACAAGCTGTTCCTAAAATTCATATGGAAATAAAAGGTAACCAAAATAATCATAAAAAATAAAGACAAAGTTGGAGAACTTACATTATATATTTTTTTCACTTCAAATTTACTACTAAGCTACACTAATCAAAGCAGTGTTATACGGGCTTAAGGATAAGCACATAGATAAATGGAATAGAATTGAAAGTCCAGAAATACACCCTTGCATTTAGTATCAATTGATTTTCAACAAGGGTGCCAAGACAATTCAATGGGAGAAAGAATAGCCTTTTCTACAAATCATTTTAGGAAAACTAGATATCCACATAAAGTAGAATAAAGCTGTGCCCTCCTTTCACACCATATACAAAAATTAGTTCAAAATGGAGTATAAACTAATGGTATGAGATAAAACAATACAACTCAGAATAAAATATAAGGGTGAAACTTCACACACTTGAGTTGTCGAAAGTCTTATAAATAACAGCAAAACCGTGTGACAAAATTTAAAAAGATCAATTGAACTTTGTCAAAATTATCAAATTTCGTGTCTTGAAAAACACTATTGAGATACTAAAAAATAATTCTTTGGCCACATCTTATAAACAGAATGGACTCCCACCCAAAATTTGGTTACTGATGTCAAGACTGCTGACAACACACATGCACCAACAGGTTATGAAATACATTCCCTCATAGGATGACGCTTTCTAGGTGAGCAAGCTGGCTCCCAAGAAGGTGTAAAAATGTCTTGAGAGCCAAGAAAGGACAATGGTTTGGGGGTTTTATGGGGGTTATAAGATGAGGCTGGGCTGAGGGTCCCCCTGTGTGGTTTGAACTTCCCTTCAGTGCCAAAGGTGGGAAAACCCAGACTTTCTTATCATCATGGTCCAGTGCGGGACAGAAGGGGAAGACATTAGGATGGGGTTTTAAAAGCTGCCAAGAGTCACACATCAATAATGGAGTCAGACTCTTTATTATAACAATCCAGTAAAAGGGAAAACAATTGCAAAACATATAACTGATACAGCTCTTGTATTTAGCATAAAGAAACTACTCTTACAATTCAGTAGTGAAAAAACAAATAACCCATTCAAAAATAAGGAAAAATATCTTAATAGACTGTTTTCAAGGAAAAATATGCAAATGGCTAAGAAACACATGAAAAGATACTCAGCATCATTAGCCAGAAGGGAAATGCTAATCAAAACTATAATGAGATACCACTTTATACTCACTAGGACGGCTCAGATAAAAAAAACAGATGATAACAAATGTTGGTGAGGATATGGAGAAATTGTAATTATCATATATTGCTGTGGGATTTTAAAGTGGTGAAGTCACATTGGAAAGCAGTTTGGCAGTTCCTCAAAATGTATTATAAAACAGAGACAATATGACCAGCAATTTACACTCCTGGGTATATATCCAAGAGAAGTGAAAACATATGTCCACAAAAAATTCCACATAAATGTCCATAGCAGTGTTACACATAATACCTCAGAAATGGAAATAATACAGATGTCCAGCAACTGATGAGTGGATAACAAAATGTAGTATGTCCATATAATTCAATATCATTCAGAAATAAAAAGGAATGATGTACTGATACGTGTTACAACATGAATGAACCTTGAAATTATTATATTGTAAAAAGAATTCAGCCAGAAAAGGCATTGTATGATTTCATTTATATGAAATGTCCGGAACAGGCAAAACCACAGAGACAGAAAGTAGATTTGTGTTTGCCTGGGAGTGGGGAGAATGAAGAATTAAGAGTGATTGTTAAATGGTATGGAGTTTGTGTTTGAGGTGTTGAAATTCTTCTATAATTAGATAGTGGTGATGGTTGCAGAACTCTGCTAATATATTAAACTGTTCAGTTGTATGGTTTTTGAATTATATCACAATAAAACACACTCCCCTATACACACACCAACTGACCCCAAATCTCTTAAAAGTAATGATTACGATCCTCTTTGCATTTATGTGCAAATCTTGGAAGACATTTATTTTCATCAGTATGTTGTGCTAATGTATTTAACATGGTTATATAGAGTGGTAGTGAAAATTATTTGAAGAATATAACTTTTTACAGCTCAGGTTGGAGGAGTGCTATATTCTGCAGTTTTTCATCTTTGATGTGTTGAGTTGGGCCTACATTATTTTGCCCTTGGGGATGCCCTGTTTTTTAATTTTTCTGCTGTCATTTCATATGCAATTGTCCATTGGAAAAAAGAGGTATAAGGCTGTGAGGATAATGTCCACTCACAGACAATATCTCTTTGAAGGAGGGTGGGTGATCTTGCAGGATTGTCTGGTTCAATCCTGTCTACTGCCTGTGGCTCCAGTTTGGATAATAAACTATATGGTCCATGATCAGGATTCTATTTAATTAGGTTAAATTATTTAATAAAGCAGTTTGGAGTTGGGAACATCTTTTATTTGCTTGAGAAATTAACTATTAAACCTGTAGCTTTTAAAAATTACCAAGTAGGCTGGGCACGGTGGCTTATGCCTGTAATCTCAGCATTTTGGGAGGCTGAGGTGGGTGGATTATGAGGTCAGGAGTTCTAGACCAGCCTGGCCAACATGGTGAAACCCCATCTCTACTAAAAATACAAAAATTAGCCAGGGCTTGGTGGCGCACACCTGTAATCCCAGCTACTCGGGAGGCTGAGGCAGGAGAACTGCTTGAACCCAGGAGGTGGAGGTTGCAGTGAGCCAAGACTGGCCATTCACTCCGGCTCTGGGCAACAGAGCAAGACTCTGTCTCAAAAAGAAAAAAAAATTACCAAATAATTTGTAACAAATTACCAAGTGATATGTAAAATCTACATTCTTAGTCCATCCCATAGTCTTACCCCTTCCCTGCCTAAGTGAAATGGGAGAGTTCCCTGATCCCCCTCTCAGGACTTGCAACAGGGGAGTGGCTTGGCTATTTGGTCACCACTGCTGCTCAAAACCCTTGAGGGAGAGGGATCATGCAGACAGGTGGGTGCAGAGGCTGGAGCAAGCACTGTGTTCTCTGGTCACACGGCAGTGTCTTGGGGTGGGTGCCTGCAGCCACAGTGTTAACTGATGCTCTCTTAGCCTTGCTGTCTGCAGATGATTTTAAGTGTTAACCAGCTCAATGGACCCTCTGCCTTTTCGCAAGCGCAGAGAGCCAGTGTGACAGCTTTCAGTATCCTGAGCTCTTACCCACCGTCCTGGAAGAATCAGGTCACACACGGGCTTAAAGGATGAATGCAAGGTTTTTATTGAGTGGTGGAGGTGGCTCTCAGTGCGCTGGATGAGGAGGCAGAAGGAGGGGATAGAATAGGAAGGTGATCTTCCCCTGGAAACTGGCCAGTCTCCAAACCTCTCCCTAACTGCCCCCAGCTGAACTCCTCTTGGTATTCAGACATTCCTCTTCTTTCTTTGCTGTGTCGTTCTACTATCCATCTGTTTGACTCCTCATTTCCTCACCTGCTCATCTGCTTCTGGAGCGTGGGGTTCGGGATTTATATGGGTACAGGATATGGGGCATGGCAGGCCAAAAGGCAACTTTTTGGGTGTGACAACAGGAATGCCTGTCCTCATTTAGGGCCATGGTTTTTCAGGCTTGAGGGTGGGGCCTTTGCTGGGGAACTGCCCTTTTCTACCCTGTATTTCCCTGTCTCCTGTCCGTATCATTTGCATGCTAGGCATACAATTAAGAAAAACTTGGTAAGGGTAACAATGAATATGAGGACTAAGTTAAGGTTAAGGCTTGAATATAGGTTATGTTTTCTGTGATAAAATTACATTTAAGGACTTAAATCATGAAGCTAATGAAGACTTCTTCCTGATGCACGTGGACACTGCCATCAACTGCCATCTTACCCAGGGCAAATGTAAGATCCAGTGTAAATGGTTCCTGGTTTAGAACTTTCATTGTTAAAATTGATTGGATCAATAGCTGGCACATGATATGGGATAAGTGAAAGAGAAAATGAACATTCTATAAGACATGGAGTCACTATGTCTCTAGCAATATGAAGAGTAGAAGAAAGTGATAACTGCTGACTACTGATACCTCTCAAAAATGCCTAATGGGTAAATTCATTCATGAGCAAAAAATTCACCTCTCCGTGTTTCCTAATTCCTACTTATAGAAAGGGGAGCATATCCTAAGATATGAATTATCATATACCAGATATAAAATTCAATGCTTCCCCAAAAGTAAGCATTCAAAAAAGTTTGCTTTTGGTATTCCCTTATGTTTCTTACTAATTACAAAAACTTCATTAAAACTTTTTTCTTTTGATTTTCAGTTATACAAACTATAGTTTAAAAGACCTCTTCACCTCAGAGGATTAAGAGTGGTGAAAGTGGCCTGGCACGGTGGCTCATGCCTGTAATCCCAGCACTTTGGGAGGCCGCGGCGGGTGGATAACGAGGTCAGGAGATCGAGACCATCCTGGCTAACAGGGTGAAACCCCATGTCTACTAAAAATACCAAAAAAAGGCCGGGCACGGTGGCTCATGCCTGTAATCCCAGCACTTTGGGAGGCTGAGGTGGGCAGATCACGAGGTCAGGAGATCAAGACCATCCTGGCTAACACGGTGAAATCCTGTCTCTACTAAAAAAATACAAAAAATTAGCCGGGTGTGGTGGCGGGTGCCTGTAGTCCCAGCTACTTGGGAGGCTGAGGCAGGAGAATGGCGTGCACCCGGGAGGCAGAGCTGGCAGTGAGCCGAGATCACTCTAGCCTAGGCGACAGAGCGAGACTCTGTCTCAAAAAAAAATAAATAAATAAAGTGGTGAAAGCAGGTTTTTAAAGCTGCTTGTCCATTGGAAAAAGTATTCAATAATTTATAATGTTTGTATTAATTAACAAATGAACTTTATAATATTTATTTAAATGTATATTTACTTATTTACCTGTTAATGGTGAAACAAAATTGTACTATCTGTTGTAGAAAATTATATTCACTATAAGAAACTTTTAATATTAAGTGCTAAGTACAGAATTGGAATCACAATTCTTTTCTAAAGTATTATCTATGCATATGCTTGCCTTCAAAATATCTTATTTATAGTACAGGAAGTTGTTTAAATTTTACACAAGACATTTCAAGAAAATATAAAGATAAAAGAAACCTCTAAGAATGGCATAGCAAGCCAAAATTCTTACTTTTTTACATAGTTGCTCTCCTTTCTGAATTTTGCTCCAGATAACAAGACACTGGAGTAAAAAAAAAAAAAAGTGTGTAAGACTTCAATTTCATTGTCACAGAAGTTATTAAAAGAAATAAAATCTTGTGGGTTTTATTGTTTTCAGGTTTTGAAACTTCCATCCAGTGGGTATTGTCCTACTTTTAAATTGGTTCAAAATAGGATCATCAAGGTATCTAGATATCCATGGCAAAGAATCAGCTCTTTTCTAATCAATGTAAGTCAATCATTGAGTTATTGATTGAAATAGTTCACAGTTAATTTTATTCACTCACTATTAGGACAGCTGGAGAAAACAAATCAATCCCTTCTTTAAGTCTCTATCCTATCAGGACCATCTTCCACAAAGAAAGGGAAAAGGATGGCCAACTTCTTGTTCAGGCCACATAATAGCCTTTTTCTTTCTCTCTCTGGAAAGTATTGTGAGTTGATATAAATAAGCTACTCTTTTCATAGTCTGTAATTCCTCTTGTTAAATGACATTAGTCATATTTATCCCCTTTTGTTTAACAGACAAATAGAAATTCAGAGATATGCTTGTATTTTTCCTGCACATAATTTCAAATAAAATCAGTAATTTTCAAGAAATATTTTGGTTAGAAATTTTGTTAGTATAAACTATCTGTGAAAAGTAAGTCCAATATACCTAGCAGATAAAATACTACTTGGTATATTGTAATTAAGTGGTAATTGTTGTTAGGAAGGAAGCTTGTCCATCTTCTGACTCTTGTATCCCCAAATGCTGAGAGCATATTACTGCTCTGTAATGATATTCAGAATTAAATAATCAATATTTTTGGATAGAAGAGCCTTGGTTGTTCATAATTTGAAAACAGTATGAATCAAGTTTGTCAAAATGTACTTGATATGTATGGCTGATCTGATAGAGCTTGATCTTATCATGACAGAATATTAAATTTTCGTAACCAGTTTTTCCAGGGAGAAGTAAAGAGTAGGAAGACTCAATGAGGATTTTAATTCACTGAATTTCAGACATTTCTTCCTGGAGAGAAACCTGTCTCTTCTGGAATGAGCACTGGTTCTCAGGAACTCACACAGGTCTTTTCTGTTTGGTACAGATGCTCAGATGGGAATATCCAAGGTTTAACCTACAAATCTTAGGACAATAACATAGGAACTGTTAATTCATATGCTTGGACACATGAGAAGTCTGAAACTATGCCATTAACTTTAGATAAATGATACTTTTTAAGTGAAGAGAAAAATAGTGGTCATTGTGGTGGATGGTAGTGGTGGAAAAAATGAGAAAATTCTCTTTCCTGGAATAGAAAAATGTATGGTTCAATGTAACATATGTATGGGACTTAATAGTATACCAGTTACATTATAGCATAGAATAAATTTATGTGAAAGCAAAGAGAGTAGAATATATAAGGCACTTTGGAATAGGGAATCAAAGTTTACTTTAAGCATGTAAATTTCCTAATGTTTTGTTGATAAATAACAGACTTTTTTTCTTTTTTTATTGGTTTGTTTTGCTTTTAGTCAATTCTATTTTCTTATTTATTTCCACCACAACAGTAAATATTTCATCATAGCAGTAATACTTCTTCATATTGAAAAATTAAATAGACTGTCACAAATTTTAACACAGTATCAATACCCACAATATTAACCAAACATTTTGCTATACTAAAAATAAATCACAAAATAGAAATATTAAGTTAAAATGTAACATTGCAATAGAATCTACCAGAATAAACATCTGCTTCATTCTACTTAACTATGTTTACTGAAGGATAACTAAGGTTACAGTTTTAATCCTTCCCCATTTTTGCCAGCTTTTATGTATTTATCATACCTTTTTTTTACAACCATGACAACTCTGTTATTTGAGAATTTTACCTTTTGGAGCGATTTTGTGGTCTGTTTCCAAACAGTTATCCAGCAGCACCTGTACATCAACTAATATGTGCTTAGAATGCAGAATGGAAATATCAAATAATCATTTGATAATGAAAATAATTCTTCCTTTTCTGAAGTACTAATCTAGCTAATACCCATTATAGCAGACTACATTTATATTTCTTGGAGACCCTCCATCCCTTCTTGAGTCAAGCAAGGACAAAAGGTCCTTCATTATTTGTTAAACCTATTACATCATATATAGTATCTTCACAGGTAGTTAAGATAACAGGTAGTCTAAAGGTAGGTTCATCAGATTCTGTAATGAGCAGTTGGTTGAATTCTGTAGACAAATCATTATTAAATTAGACAATATATATATTACTTCATCTGTGGTACAAACCTAGTAATTAATTGCAATCCATAAATTTAGTTACATCAATCATTTATTGTAAACTTACACGGGTAAATTACAACAAAAATCCTGGAAATTCATAAATTATCACTTTGCCTGGTGTTCACTCTTTTGCATGTAGTGATTTTTTTTTACTTGTGTTTAATAGGAGTTTTGCTGGTGGTTAAGTATATATTTCAATGGTCCGTGTAAAGGAAACAACAGTAGACAAAGAAAATTGTATTTCTCGGCTGACTGTATTGTCTTTCCTGAGGACCCTCATCATAACAACTTTTTCTCTGGTGGTAAGAATTAAAAATCAGTGAATGTCTGATCAGTGAATGGAAGCCAGTCTCTGTTGTAAAATCTTCTAAGTGTAGCTGACACCAGTTTCTTCTTCCTCTTAACTTTTTTCTAAAATTATAGATATTACTCCAAAGCTATCCAATGAAACATGGTCTTGTAGGTCTCTTCCTCCCACTCTGCTTTGGATTGTAAATCTATTGAGGACCAAAACAGTTTTTTATTTTTGTTATATCCCCAATAACACTATACATGGCATAAATGATCAATAAGTTTGTAAAACCCCTTCATATCAAGGCAAATTTGATAGAAAGTATACAAATATGATAGCTGTTATAATGTCAGAAACTGAAGAGATAATGATTCACCAAAAATGTGAAAAAGTTGTTAATATACAGAATTATTTGCCTGCAACAAGCTTGTAATTATACACAAAGGAGCAGTAGCTTGCTTCCCTTCTAATTATTAAATCAAAGATGTATGATTTTGCTAGAATGCAAAATGGCAAGTTTAAGGACTCCAGTTATTCTCAATTTGGGCCTTTCAATTCTTTGGCAAACATTAATCATCTTTTCCCTAAGATTTCAAGGAAGCAAGCTATCCATTTTAGCCTCCATAGTTTCAGGCACAATGGATTGTATATTTTAATATGACAACAATCTTCTAATTATTTCCATTTCCCACTATAATGTCAGCTCCAAGAGAGAAGAGATTTTTTTTAATTCCATTACTTGCTGCTTCTGTGGGGTCTGTAACAGCGTAAGAGCTCAATGAACATTTCTTAGAATCATGAATCAAAATAAAGATGCAAATTATCATATGGCTAAGATTGCAAGTTTTGAAGTCAGATGTCCTGGATTGACCTATCCACAGCAAATGTGGTCATGTTACTAGTCACCAACCTTGCCTCAGTATCTTCCTCAGTAAACTTTGGATGGTAATAGTATGATCTTCATGGCGTTGTTATGAGGATTAAATAATTAATTCCAAATAAAGTGCCCAGAAGAGTTATCTGCACATAATATGCATTCAATAAGTGTAAGAGCTTAATATATTAATATAATTTAAAATTCAAAACTTTTTATAGCCAAAATTACAATTCTTTCTGATTTGAGAGCCTGTGCTCATTCTACTAAACCTTTCTGACCACGCAGAACATTACACTTTATGCAGAATACAGTTTTCTCGAAGACAAGTAATACATGAGCACAAAGAGAAAAGCAATTGCTTTCTTTAAGCAGCACATACATTCATACTATTAATTTAGTACAACTCAGGCTTAAACCTCAATTTTGAGAAAATCACTGAGTGTAAGAATTGCCTTTAAGTTATGAATTGGTTAGTTGTAATTGTTAGAACAATAGAAATGTAACATGACCCTTGAGGTGGGTGGCTCTGTCTGCAGAGCACAGCCACCGCTGGATTTCTCAGCAATGCTGCTGGCCTTCTATCCAGTGCTTTCCTGATGCCCTTGGTGATTAGATTGTCCTCTGGGTCCTCCCTGGAACATAATTCTCTCATAAGTGTTATGGCCTCACCTAGTACATACATTTCAGGATGTCCACATCTGAGCTTTTTTTTTACTTTCTCTGCCAGGTCAACACAGGTATTTTCACTGCCCTGATTTTGGGTTATCAATTTATTTAGGCTTCTAAGAAGCTGCGTTAGCAGCAAGGTTGCCTCATCCTCAGGCCCTTGCCAGAGCGTTAAATCCCTGTTCTGAAAAAGTGCCTCAAGCCAATGAATTTTTCTTTAGCTTAAAAATTGTATTAAAAGTTCTGGTTAATGTTTTAATTCTCAAGACAGATTTCCAATGAATCACCCTGAAGTAGTACCTGCAATGACGTTGCACACACTATTCTCTGCAATCAGCTGTGCGAAGACAGCTGTCACTCCTCTTCGTCACTAAAGGGTGAGTTTGACACTAATACATTTTTAAGAACTGTTGTATAAAGTTGTTAAAGTTTGACTATATTTTCCAAATCCCAACCAAAGTATTCATGTCTCTGCATTCTTACTCGCTCTGGGAATAAGGAAAATAGTTTTTCTCTGCACCAAAAATATATTTGATGAAAACAGTTGTGACCAATTATCCTTCAGTTGCTATTCCCATTGCTCCTCTAGTTACCCCAGATGATTGTGTTTAAAGTTGAGCTTTTTGTTGTTTTATTGATTTTGCTTCCCTTTTAAATAATTTATGGTGGGTGAGACATAACCATAGATATGTTATGATATATCTGATTTCATATATTATACCCCATTAGACAGAAATTCATCAATCTTGTGTGTGAAATGGAAAAATCCAATACCAAACTTGAGGCAATATCTTTTTCCTTACTCTGAATTATGACTCATCACCGTCAGATTAATCTTTCTAAACTGTTATGCAAACATGCTTTCTATTTTTATATGTTTTGGGGTGTATAGTATAAATATGCTCATATATACATTGATATATGTAAGTATATGAAGCCTCTGTTCATACTTGTATGTAAGTGCAAAGGGTAACTTTGTGATAAAATTTATTAAAATTAATTATGTTTCTTGCAAAGTGTAAAATTTTGGTGGGTTTTTTTTTTTTGTTTAGTATCACTTTTTAAAATTGCCTATGCATTATTTGAACCAATCCTCAGGTAACCATATAATTCATCATCCAAAGCAAGACTTCACTGAGAGTAAAAGAGGGCACTTTTAATATATTTGCTGGGAAAATGGCATGAAAGTAGACCACCCTGGATAAAAAAGCATGTACCTTTGGCCTATTTAATCCTCATGAGGGATTCTCGTTCAGAGAAACAAGTAAAGGCAGTTGACCAGCTGTGGATCACACAACTTCTAATTGTTAGGTTTCAAATTCAATTCCTGTGTTTTCAATTATTTCTTCTTGCATAACATCTTGCCTGGTTCTAATCAATATGGCCAGGAATGCTCTTTGCTCACTCTTTCAACAAGTTGACATAGACTTGCTGTGAATTTCTCTTGTGACATTTATCTTACTTTACTTGTGTTATCGATATCTGCATACTTTTCTTATCTCCATTTCTAAATTGTGTGTAAAACACCTATTTCGAATATAACATTTAACCTTTCATTGTGTCTTAATTATCTACTGCTTAAATTACCCCCCAAACTTCACAACACTAAGCAACAAATATTTAGCCCCTTTTTTTCAAGAAAGCTAGCACATGTTTGCAGTTGAATCATTTTCTAAGCCTGTTTTCTGGGAGTTCAATGACCCCCTTTCATTCTGTACTGTCTTTCTCACTTACAGTGCAAGCTGGTGGCTGATAGTGTTTCTGATGATATAATTCTCCCAAAAAAACTCTCCGGCCTTTTGTGAATCTGAGTTTTATTCTGTCAGTCAAAAGCTACACCCACAAATCCTTGAAGGGTACTAGCTTTCTATTTAATTTAACAATCCTATATCAATATTATGTCTTTCAGGGACTATAAATACTTCTGTCTTATCTATAAATTTATGAATCAGTTTTACAATCCTATTGTTTTCATCATTAATTAAATAAATTGTTGACTCATCCTCTCTCAACTTGTAAAAGAATCAAGTCTTTAAATGTTTTGAAAATTATATTTTGAGGATAGATTAAGTCTGAGAAAACAATAAGATTTCTATCATCAACATAATTTTGTTGGTGATGATGATGGCATATCTTTTTATTTTGAAATTATGTTTCAATAAAGTTTATAAATGATGAATAGAAATGAATGTCAGTAGAAGACAATAGGATACATAATCTGCCTTAGACAATGGGACCTCTAGGATAAATAATCTGCCTTAAGTAAGCAGGTAACTGGCTGGCTAAGCAGGTTTTTTCTTTCTCTTCACAAAATATCATAAAATTGCTCAGTTAAAAAAAAGTTGATAGACCTTGTTATTAGAACAGTACAGCTGGCTGGAACTTTTTGCTGGAACCTTTAAATATTTAAATATTCCATTTATTGGACTGTATAGTGAAGAATTCAAGTCTCCATGGGAGGTATTAAAGATTAATACAATTTTTTTTTGCTCTGTGTAATTTAAATTTCATATTAAGGAGAAACCTTGTCATCTTCTTATTTAATCAAGAAGGCCATTAATTGAGGATCAAGTAGATGAATTAGCTAACTTACTTATCTGGAGAGAGACCATAGTAAGAAATGAGAAATCAAATATCATCACTTCCAGACTGACAGAAGCCCCTCTTGTATTTCAGATATGCAGAGCATACAAAGACTAGAATAAACTTTGATTTTCTACAAGTGTAGGTAATATCCAAAAAAAAAAAAAAAAACCCACGGTAGGCTCAATTTTATGGCATTTTCTGTGCATTGGAACAATTTCAGCAAAAACTCAGGCTCTCAAGCTCAATGACAATCAATGATACTGAAAAAAAGTCACATATTATGAAATTCACTTTGGCAAACAGTAATCTGATAAAACAGAAATCTCTAAAAGAGAAAGCTTTTTGTAGAACTAATTCTTACCTTAATTTTATTATATAGGGATAAAGGTGCCATCATCTACAGTTTAAGTAACTTATATAACCATTTTATCTTCAGACTACTTTCTAAAAAGTTTACTTGAGAAATTCAGAAAAATTTAAACACATCAACTGTTTCTGATATCCTTTATGCTTGCTTGCCCTTCAGTCATGTTCCAACTCCAGAGTGTGCATAGCCTTTAATCCAGTGTAATAAATCATGAAATGATTTTTTCTCAGCAAGACAAAAGGGACATTACTTGAAATGTTAGCATGGCATTGGAATAGTGGGGAAGGCTGATGCAATTATCCAGAAGGTCTGTTTATTCCTTCTTCATTCCTCTGTACCTGAGGAAAAACATTATTATTCAGCACAGTTAGCTCTAGCATTGCATCAAGAGTGAGATTAGAAAATACTGATTTATAAGGAGAATTGTAGCTGGAATATGAAATTCAGATAAACAAAATGACTTAAAGCAAAATGACTTTTAAATTTTTTGTCATGCTACTCTAGTCTGTTTCTTGCTATCTATGCTTAAGTTATCTAATAATTAATATTAAGAGTTCTGCTATTTATATCTATATCAACTCCCACCCCAAATATATAACTTTATATTCAGTTGCTGTTTCATCTTTGAAGCAAGAGAATTCTAATATGTAGGCAAACAAATCATGCTGTCGCATGACAAATGTGCCATAGAACATTAGGCCCCACGTCCTGGGAGGGAAATAAATAGCCTTTGAAGGGTACAGTGTTCTTATAGTCTAAAGCAAATACT
Source organism: Homo sapiens (assembly GCF_000001405.40). Taxonomy (NCBI): domain Eukaryota; kingdom Metazoa; phylum Chordata; class Mammalia; order Primates; family Hominidae; genus Homo; species Homo sapiens. The sequence continues at coordinate 138,032,948 of NC_000004.12, forward strand.
GAGAGGTGGAGGTCCTTATCTAGATTTTTACCTTCTCTTTCCTTTTTTTTTTTTTTTTTGTGGTTGTTGTTGTTGTTTGAGACAGAGTCTCGCTCTGTTGCCCAGGCTGGAGTGCAGTGGCATGATCTCGGCTCACTGCAACCTCCACCCCCCAGGTTCAAGCGATTCTCCTGCCTCAGCCTCCTGAGTAGCTGGGATTACAGGCATGTGCCACCACGCCCGGCTAATTTTTGTATTTTTAGTAGACAGGGTTTCACTGTGTTGATCAGGCTGGTCTCAAACTCCTGACCTCGTGATCCACCCACCTCACCCTCCCAAAGTGCTGGGATTACAGACGTGAGCCACCGCACCCGGCCTACCTTTTCAATATAAGTAAAGTTTACTGGGCTTCCTTGAAACACATACATTCAAATTTCTTGATTTCATTTATTTTGTAAAAGTATACCAGTCAAATAAAATACTACAGATTGGAATCCATGTGAGCAGAATGCAATACAAATCTTGCTGCTACAAGGGTGCACTCCTTTGCACACGTGCTCTTGGACCTTTCCTGTCTTTCAGATCACATGTTTTGAGATGCAGAATAATTTATTAGTTAGCAGAGCAATGCCATATTACCAATATGACTGATTTGAATTGAAAAATCAAAGTATTTTGTATTGCCCTTAAAGTAATCTGTTGAAAGAGACAGACGGTAAAACAGGTGTAGGGGCTCATACAATAGACATATGCAGACTTTCTCTGCACACTAATTACAACACAAAATGCCAACGAGCGAAAAATAAAAAAAAAATGAACAAGGATTTAAAATACCTGAGGAGCATTTTAGAAATTATAGTATTTAATCCTGGTAAGCAGGAAGCTGTAATCAGTCTATTTTACTATATACTTAAGCAGGGTAATAACCATTGTGAGCCATTTGATTCTCCAGACAAATGATAATTCCTCTAGTACATCTTCTAATCCTTTTTGATAAGATGATCCCCAAGTTCTTTAAAGTATATTTTCTTTTTATAAAGGAGACCTGGATTAGAGTCACGGATTCCTAGCTTCAACTAGGCCAACTTTCCTCCCACAGAAGGAGGGACAAATTTAAAACATTCTTTTTAAGGTGTATTATAACTAGTCGACTTAACGTTATTCAGAAATGTTCAGAATTATATACAGAGTGGTGATATTTTTAATAAAAATAGCGTATGTTACAATTTTAAAGTTCATCTGTGAAATCGATAGTTATGAAATGTTTTTCATCATATTTCAAATTTTGACCATTAAACTTTCCTATCAAGAACTACATATAAAAGCTCTCTTACGTTTAAGCTGTTTTTAAAAGTAAACATTGGGCCAAGCGTGGTAGCTCACGCCTGTGATCCCAGGACTTTGGGAGGCTGAGGCGGGAGGATCACGAGGTCAGGAGATCAAGACCATCCTGGCTAACATGGTGAAACCCCGTCTCTACTAAAAATACAAAAAATTAGTTGGGCGTGGTGGCACGCGCCTATAGTCTCAGCTACTTGGGAGGCTGAGGCAGGAGAATCGCTTGAACCTAGGAGGCAGAGGTTGTGGTGACCTGAGATAGCGCCACTGCACTCCAGCCTGGGTGACAGAGCAAGACTCCATCTCAAAAAAAAAAAAGTAAACATTGATAAACCAGGAGTTAAAAAAAGCAAATTTCCTTGCAATAAAAGTATGATAAAATGTCACTAAAATACCATAAATTAAATTTGTATATTATTAATTATAGTTTTCAAGCTAGAATTAGTAAGAACACTGGTACCTATTTTTGAATCTTAATGAGATACCCAGCAAAGTGCCAAGGTTATTCTTTGGTAAATATGAACAAGATATGAAATATGAAAGCACCTGAATTTAAGATAAATAAACCTTAGAGGTCACTGGGTCGAGCCTCTTTAATTTGCACAGGAAGTTTAAACTGGGAAAGACATAGATATTTAAATATCCAGGCATTTAAATATTTAAATATCCAGGCATTTTCCCAGCACTGGTAATAAAGGCCAAACCCCTCAATGATGAATATATGTTGCAAGTCGTTTTGATCTGATAGCAAACATGCTGATTCATATTTTCTATTGACTAATCGACATGACATTGCATTACATACTAATCTAAAGGAAAGGCATTCTGAATCACCTCCTTTGTACAGGAGCAAATCTGGACTTGCAAGGAGATTTGCAAATATGAGCTAGTGCTAACACTGCTAAATCTAGTACCTAGGAAGTTAGGAATGAAGAGCAGACAGATCTTGTCCCTGCCTTGTTAACACTGAAATATCAAAGCAAGTCCTCAAGGATCTTACTTGCATTAAGGGCCTTTTGGTCTTGTGATGGGGAGGAAACTGAGGCAGAGCCTTCTGAACTGGAAATGGGAACTCAAAGTATGATGATTAGGGTCCCATGATAAAAGAGGGTTAAAACATCTTTAGTTCTTCAGAAATATGCTCTAGGGCTATAGGAAATGTTCCCACAGTTAGATGGAAGTGAGAGGGCACTATAAGGATCTAGAGGAAGGTAAAGTAAATAGCATTTATTTAGAACTTACTACATGTCAGACACTAAGCTAGATTGCTTGCATTAAAATATTTTCTCGACTCCTCGAAATTCTATGAAGTAGATATTTTTCTCTGAATGTGTGAGTTCCTTTGAGAAGACCACACATAGAATACATACGTTTATTAGTGGGTAGGAAAGATTTCTACTCCAACCCTAACGGAGCCCAAATCAGCTATGGTTATAGAATAGTGATAAAATGCACTTTCCAGAGCCAGACTAGCTGGGTCCAATGCTGGCAGGCCAGCTGAATGATAGAGAGAAGTCACTTCCTGTAAGCATTAGTTTTATCTGCTGTAAGACAGAACTGATAGAGTGTTTGTGGAAGTGAAACCAGGTAATGTGGGTGCAGATCTTAGCCCAGTGCCAGGCATCCAGTGAGATCTCAGCCCCCAGATCTTGCTTGTATTATACATCTTTCCAGCAGATGGAGCAATAAACCTATAAAAGCAGGGTTCTTGAGGGACCCAAAGGCCCAATCTCCTCAGAGGGACAATGGGAAATGTTACAACTTAGGGAAACACTGTTTCCTCTTGGAGAAAGCATTATGATGGCTCATAGCAAACAGTTTGGTTTGGAGCCAACTTCAGAAGACCCAGAAAACCAGTACAAGATCTGGGGACCTCAGAAATCTGTAAGAGGAACACTGATATATGGAAGGCCAGCAACCCTGACACTGGGGACCAAAATAGCCAGTGTTGAGTCAGCCGAGTAGGGCTGCCTGCAACATTTTCTCAGCTCATCACAAACTTCCCAATGTGGAGGAAACTGAACTCCTGAGGCAAGATGGGGGAATAATAATGATAACAGCTAGCACAAATGTTATCATCTCAGAATAGTGTCCTAAGTTAGAAGGAAACTGAGTGGTTAAGTAGCCTTCCCAAGGTCTCAAAGTTAAAAGTGATGAAGCTGAGAGTCTTACTCATTATGGGTTTCTATGGAGGTCCAGAGACACCATCTTAGCTCCCTGGTGCTCTCCTGTGTCCCAGTGAAAGAGTGTCTTAGTCTCCCCAGGGGTCATGGCTTTGAAAAGGAGAGTGTGACACGGAAGAGGAATCTTGTTTTTATAATTTTCTGTCTCAAGTTTCTTCAGGGTCCCTCTACAATAAAGGTACAGAAGATTATTCTCTATATACCCCAACCTCTTTGTCCTTCTCCAGCCTCACCCCAAAAGTGTTTTTGTTTGTTGTTTTTGTATAATTGTGCTTCAGAGTTATGTTTAGAAAGTTCTTCAATGGAAACAAAAAAACAAAAAAGATTTGTTGATGTTTGTATCATTGAGTTTCAGTGAAAGAAGCGGAAGCACTAAGAGATATATACATACATAATAATTTTTAACAGATAGTTGACTTCTCAGAATTGTGAGGCGGGCTTAGTAGTGTCTGTAAACGGTCGCCTTTATGTCTTGTCAGAGATGTTGGAACCAGAGCAATTCCATCTTGAATAGATGCTAGGTAAAATAAGGCTGAGACCTACTGTGCTGCGTTCCCAGGAGGTTAGGTATTCTTAGTTACAGGATGAGATAGGAGGTTGGCACAAGATACAGGTCATAAAGACCTTGCTGATGAAACAGTTTGCAGTAAAGAAGCTGGCCGAAACCCACCAAAACCAAGATGGTGATGAAAGTGACCTCTGGTCATCCTCACTGCTCATTATACTCTAATTATAATTCATTTGCTTACCAAAAGGCACTCCCACCAGTGCCATGACAGTTTACAAATGCCATGGCAATATCAGGAAGTTATCCTATATAGTCTAAAAACTGGAGAGACCCTCAATTCCGGGGTAAAAGGGTAAAGATTTTACCCCTTTCCTGGGAAAGCTCATCAATAATTCATCCCTCGTCTAGCATATAATCAATAAATAACTACAATTATACCAATCCAGCAGCCCATACCACTGCTCTGACTATGGAGTAGCCATTCTTTTATGCCTTTACTTTCTTAATAAACTTGCTTTCACTTTGCACTGTGAAATCGCCCTGAGTTCTTTCTTGCACGAGATCCGAGAACCTTCTCTGGGGGTCTGGATCAGGACCCCTTTCCTGTAAGAGTCTGATGCTGGAGCTCAAATTCTATAGGTCAGACAATCAGGATGGGAAAGTGGATGTGAAGTAAGACACAGAAAGAAAACACTGGAACCCACAAATACAAGCCTTTGAACCTGGTAGAATGGGTGTCTAAAAAAAGCTGGGACATTTATTCAACACACACACCTGCCTGGAAGTCAGAAAAACTAAATGCTTTCAAAGAAATGTGGAACAGTTGCAGGCCTGGCTGCTGCCTCACAACAATAAAGTGAACCAGCAAATAAGCAACAGTGTGTGAGAGTGAAAACGGCTGTTGCTGTACTTCTGCCCTCCAAATAATCCCAGAAGAATCTCTCATGTGGCCATCCTAACCAGAAACATACCAGAATGAGAATTCTGGGAAATGTAGTTCAGTCGAGCCAAAGTGACACAAGGCAAAGTGACCACAATCAGCCTCTTTTCGATTTGGCATACATCCACATTTCATTAAACCATACTTAACCTCCAAATAAAGGTAATAACAAAGTCAGGCCTCTGCCTACCAAACATACAATATCTTGAGGACAATCAAAAGGCAAGCTAACCTGGAAATACATGTCCAGAAAGGCAGTGTGAGGAGGTTTGTGGATCAGCTTCCCAGTCAAACAGCCATATTTGGTAAAAATTACTTTTTAAAAAATTAAGTCTTGAGACATTGTCCAAAGTACATACATTAAACATGAAGAAACATTTATTCAAGAAAATCTATTAAACTGTGGCAAGAACAGCAATAGTCTCCGGCATTTGAGCCATGACCTGCCCATTCCTGTCCTCTCCATACTGGAGGTGATAAGAGAGCCACTTCAGGTGAGTGTGGCCAAAAACACAGAGATCCCCCACACCTCAGCTCAAGGGTTGTGCTATCTCTCCCCAGGACGAAAAGCCAGCAGCATTTATCATCTCCCATAGCTCTGCATTGGCCAAGGTAAATTCCAGATGAGTGAAAACAAAGGGTCAAGGATCTCTAAGCAGCTCCCACTCTCAGAACATAAGCTCTAGCCCAGGAACAGCAAGCTGAGAATACCGAGGTTACAATCATCTTCACCCCAGCTCACTTATTGGATGGAGGCTGCAGACCAGGAGAGGCAAGCCAAAAAGACCAGGAATGACCAACCCTAACTGGCACACTGCTCAAAATATAAGGCAGGGGTTCCCAGGGACTGGCACCAGTCTATGGTCTTTTAGGAACCGGGCTGCACAGCAGGAAGTGAGCAGTGGGTGAGGGAGCATTACTGTCTGAGCCCCGCCTCCTGTCACATCCATAGTAGCATTAGATTCTCATAGGAGCTCGAACCCTATTGTAAACTGCACATGAGAGGGATCTAGGTTGCACACTCCTTACGAGAATCTAACTAATGCAGTATTCTGTGAGGATAAACAGTTTCATCCCCAAACCTCCCCATGCCATCAGTGGCAAAATTGTTTTCCACAAAACGGATCCCTAGTGCCAAAAAGGTTGGGGACTGCTGATGTAAGGGATTCCTCCAGAAAAAATGACCCACTGCCCCAGCTCCATACTCTGGAGCAGTGGCTCAGAGTTTTGTACAGAGAAGAGGTGAGGCATAAGAACAGAATGCTCTGAAGGTCACTCCAAAGGAACTGACTTTATATACAACAGAATATGGGAAGGTTCATGACTAAGGAAGCTCTCATAAACAAAGAAGATTTTGATTGGAAGCTATTATTAGGAGGCTGATTGCTCCATCAGAGCCAGAAGCTATAGGAAAGCTATAAGAAACGAAAAGGAAAATAGTAACAAGGTAGTCTATAAATTCATAGATGGTAGTTTTGACAGAGACACTAAGGAAATCTAAGGCAAATTCATATCCAGTGTGTCTATTCTGGTAAAATGAATGCCTTCCTTAATCAAAGCAGCCCATTGCCATCAACCTGCCCCCATGTAGCTTGCGGATACCCTTGGGGAATAGTGACATATCACTGTGATCACATTGGATGACTGATGGGGCACTAATTAGTGGCTATGGTCATATTGGCCTCAGTAAGTGGAAATACATGTATATAACCTCCATCGTACCACCATGACTACTTTATTCATCAACTGATTACATGAGACCTGAGGCTGACTGACATTCACCAAAGGAATCATTTTCTTTCTTGATTGTTATAATCCTTCTATAGTGAAGTCACTCTGGTGAGCATCCACACACAAATATCTCCAAAGATTTTGCCCATTTGACCATCCAGCAAATGCACCCATCAGACTGCATTAGCTGCAGTCTGAGTTGCTATACACCCATCCTTTTGGTCATTTCTCCTTTCAAACTAAATGGACAGCCAGGTATGAACCCTGAATTTGTGTCCACTGGAAGAATTTTCTTTCCTTGCTCCCCTTCAGGGCCTTCTCAGAGGAGGGCTGTAGTGCAGCAGTCATACCTCTTGGACCAGTTCCTGAATTTTCCTTCCTCAGGAAACTGAGCATAGGGATCTCCCCATGAATCCTCAAAAACAGGTTGAGAAAGAAAAGACACTGTTTCTGAAGTAGGAGCCATGGACGTCCTGGCAACTTTTTCACGCAACTTACTTGTGCCCTCAGGGCCCAGTTCCATCTGATGATGGAGTGCTGGTGTGCATGCCTGACTTTATGGTATGATGTATAGGATTTTGCCCAGATCACGAAGGGCAGTTCAGGTCACATGGTAACTAGGCAGGTCATGGTCAGATGTTCAGTTTCTACTGAGATTCAGTAGCAAACCAAAAGCTGTTCTCAGAAGGAGACTACAGTTTTTCTGCAGAGAATAGCCTGCCTTTGCTCCAAGATCCTAAGTGCTTTGTTGTGTGTCACCTTTAGGGGCCTGATGTAAGCTCCAAATAGAGAAGTTCTCTATCTGTCATTGACACTTTGAGCATCAATGGATTTGCTATGTCATATGGTCCAAGTGGCAGAGCAGCTTGCACAGCAGTTGGACCTGTTGCAAAGCATTCCTTTGTTCTGAGCTTCACTCAAAGTTATTGACCATCAATAAATGTGTCAGTGTACCACACACAAATTCCGAAGATACCTATCAGGGTATTGTTCATTTTTCTTACAGATTGGATGGGCCATATACAGTAACTGGTCCTTCACATTGAAAAGGATATATCAGCATGGCCCATACCACTGAATAACTGGAAATTTTGGCAAGCTAGCATACTAATTTTTTGTGAGATTTATTTCTCATCATCTGGCATGTAAGTGTCCTACCAATGTGCTCCTTCATACCTGACCCAATCAGAATTACATAATCAATATAATGGATGAGTATGTTCTCTTGTGGAAGGCAACTGTGATCAGGATTCCTGGGCTAGAGATTATAACTTTTTGCTGGGGAGCTGCTATATCCCTAAAGTAGGACGAAGTGTACTATTGGCCTTGCCAGATGAAAATATACTGTTTTTTATAGTCTTTATGCAGGTCAGTAGGTATATACCAGAGAGCAGGGGATGTGTTGCTTTGCTCCAGAAATGAAACAGCAGCTGCAATTTGAGTTTCCATTCAATTAAGTTTACCTAATTCACTGTCATTCTCTGAGATCCATCTGTCTTCTGCATAGGCCAAATAAGCCAGTCAACTGGTGATGTGGTGGGAATCATAACTGCTACATCTTTCAAGTCCTTGTTCATGCCACTAATGTTTGTAGTGCTTCCAGGAATGTAGTATTTCACTTAGTTTATACCCAATTCATGAAGAGGTAGTTCTAGTGACTTACCTCACTTCACAGGTCAGGAAAGAAACAAGTTCTTGGGTATGTCTCTTCCAATTATGCATTTCAGAAGTGGGTAAGTGATGACAGAGGATGTTTGGGGACCAACTGGGTCCACTGTGTGAGAACCTAAGCCAAAATCCATTGATCACCTGACCTCCAAAAGCCCCTTATTTGACTGGTAGACCACAGTGACATCTTGGATTTCCAGGATTTAATGTGATTTGAGAGCCAGTGTCCACTAATTCCCTTAAAATATGCAAAAACCCTGGTCAATGCATGCAAGTCCCATGGAGCAATGCTGGGCAGTGATTAGCATGATATATTTGTGGCAGTGTGGCAAGATCCTTCCTCAAGAGGACCCAGCTTTCCTTCCATTCAAGGGGATCTGAGTATGTAAGGTGGCTCAAGTTTGGGAAATGATTAAGAGGCTGTGGCTCTGTTTTCATAAATCAATTTCACTGGACTTAGAGCTTTTCTGCTTACAAAATCAAGACTTCAGTACCACCTACAGTTGATTCTTGTTATTCACAGTAGTTATGTTCTATAAAGTCATCATGAATATTGAATTAGCAAATACTGGCCCATTGCTCTTAGGAGAAATATAGCATTAGGTTCCTGCAAACCTCTGGTCACAACTTTTTATCAATTGATCAATACATAACCTTATTTTATGTGCGTTTCTGTTTAAAGATACTTGGCCTATTGGCCAAGAGCATTACAACTCATTCCTGAGCAGAGCTGATCTAATATATGTATTTTTTCTGTAAGGCACAGCACAGCCTTCGTGCACTAAAGAACACTACACAGCACTTTAGTACTATGATGGGGGCCATTTAAACAGCAAAAGCAATCATTAACAAAAAGCACAAAAATGCAGAAAATGTGCCGCCACATAGACCATGAAAAGATCACTTGTTTACAGTATGAGAGCCGAAACAAGAAGGCATAGCTAGGCCTTCTTTGACCTCAACTGGGAATACATGTGTCTGTGAATCAATTTTTTTTTGCCACTCTGCACACATTTATGTCCACGAATGACCTCAAAAGCAGTGCTAGTGTTAATTTTGTTGTTACATAAACTTTAGCAAGTAGGTGAATTTGCAAATACAGAATTAATGAATAATGAGAATTTACTCTATTTTAGTTTATGGAACACCAAAGTTAGTTAGTCAATGCCAAAGAGCTTTGAGCTATACTCTTCTGATTATGACTTTGGCTCTGCTGTCTATTATGATAAGCATGCCCACTTTGTCTTTGTCAATTAAGTGCTTCCATTTGTCCCCTGCCACCATGAAACCTCATCATTCTCATTACTTCTAGGAATCCCAGTCTGATGGCAGCAGTCCCATGGTAAGATCTGGTCTGCAGAGAAGAACCATCACAGAACTCTCCAAGAATATATTTATCAAAGCCATGTGGAAGAGAGTATCCTCTGGACCATCCCAGGATGGTAAGCAGATCTTACATGATAAATCCATTCTAGCATTTCAATTTTCATAAGGCTTTGAATTCCTTGTTCTTCTATGTATGAAGGAGATTCGGGTATTTTAATGTTACTTAGTGTAGGCTGCATTTAGATCTACGTATCAGTCAAGCAGCCAACCAAGGGGTTAGAACAACTTCTAGCTGCTCTCAAGCTAAGACATTAAATTTGGAATTTTTGCTAAGTGGGTTCCTATCATTAAGTTCCCTGACCCAATTTAATATTTCTTCCTTAAAGTTCCTTTCCCACAGATATTCTCCGGATTTTTGTCACTATAAATTGGAAAAAATGTGCAATTCTTTCTGTCTGTATTATACCTCTTCAAAGGTTATGCTTTTACCATATCCACTGGTGTCTACTGGGACTTGAGTTTGATTCTAGGTCTAGAAGCAAGGAGAGGATGTGGAGGTATATCCTGAGAAGGATCAGCAGTGCCTTGCAAGTCAACCTACCCAGGGGAAGCCCTTACAGGTTCTTCAGACAAGGAGAGGCTAACCACCTCAAGCAAGAATAGAAGGGCTGCTTCAACTGACAAACAAGGCTTGGGGAAATATAGGGGATCAAGCACTCCAGTATCCTCAAATCTGCTCATATGTCCCTACCCCTATTTTCACAAACCTACTCCTTCCCTAATCAATGCCTTAACTTTAACAGGAGACCTTATGTGGTTGGGGAATCATTTGCATTGCAATTCAGTTACGCTCAAGATTAAAATTTGATTTTGATTTTCACAAATCTCAGCTCTATAACTACAAAACATAGAGGAATCATAGAAGCTTTCCAGTCCCTTGTGCAGACTTTGAGCTGGAAATGTAAAGTTCTGCACCTGTCATGTATTTTCCCCCCAAGGTCTCCAGCATAGTTATAAGCAACCAACCAACCAACGCCATTATACTCAGTTTTTTAGTAAAAGCTTTTATGACAGCAAATACATGGTCACCAGAGCCTGGCCATCTGTAAGTACTTGATTACAAGTATCTAAAAGTGATAATTTATGTAACTGCTTTTCCACTGCATGACATAGTCTAGCCCTCTATACCATTGGAAACATATAATGACCTTCATATGTAATAAGATCAAAGAACTAATTTCAGAAAACCCAGAACAAATTCAGATTAATCACTCTTAAGATTCTGTTCTTCTAGAACTATTTCTGCCACCAAACTAGTATCAGACTTTCATTAGAGAAGCAGTATAGATATGGATATAGACACAGATAGATACTAAGCAATTTAATATGGAGATTTGACCTTATGAAATCTGGGGAGCTGATTAAGCAATTGTCTTTGCATTTAATTCTAAACCTTGAAGTCCACTATGCAAGCAATTGGGAAGGAAAGATGGACCTAATGTGGTAGAGAGAAGGAACCACCTAGAACTCACAAGCATGAGCTGGAGCCTACAAGGACAAACTGAGACCTGTCAGTCCTTTTTGTGTGTATGACCTTGGTGAAAAAGGTGTCCTGCAGAGGCAAGGGCCCACCTTCATGGAGCTAAGCACATACACCCAGGAGTCAGAGAAACTAAAGAAGAATCTGGCAGAAGACAGAGCAATTGCCAGGCTCACTAATGGCTCACACCAATATATGAGACATGTCAGTAACATATATGAGCTGCAGAGTGGTTAGTGCTTCATCCCCAGTCTCTAAATCTCTCACAAGAATATATCTTGATCTTATCATAACTAGAAGCATGCAAGAAAGGAAATTTTAGAAAATTAGTTCACTCTTACAAAGTTGACACATTACAAAGCCACCACAGTGTCATTAAAACGCCACTCTGAAGAATATAACATTCAGAGCCAAGTGAGATTGCTGATGCCCATTCCTGGGAAGACAACAACACCAAAAAAATGAGACAAGCTGGTTTAATTACAAAGGGAATGGGCAGGATGAAACAGGCCCCTCAGGAAGGGAGACATAAAAAAGGAATAAAGAAGGAGTCAAAAAAGATACTTCTAGCACTACTTCAAAGTAGTCTCTACACTGACTAAATGTGATCTGAAAGGAAGAGTCAAGAAATGTTTACACTCTGGACTCCAAATATATTTCTAGGCAGTTTGAGTATGCCTGGATTCTTTCAAGTGAAGAGCTGAAACTATATGCCTTTTCCAGTCTTGGTAAATTCTAATAGCAAATTTATAATTCATGATGCAGGATTTTTCTCTCCTTAGTTCAGCTAAAATCCAGGTTCTTTTCTCACAACCAGAAAGAATTAGGCACACGGACACATTGAAAGGTGAGGGGGATGCAATTTATTAAGTGAAAAGGAAAACTCTCAACAAAAAGAGGAGTCCTGCACGCAGGTTTTCCACCTCACAAGACTTGAATACCAGGCCACCACACAGGAGCTGAAGAGGCCCAGCTCCTGCCCTGCATAAAGTGTGAATTCCTGGTGGCTCCACCCCATTCTCCCAGTGCACATGTCTGGGCCTGGGCCACTCTACAATGATTTATTTCCCTTACTGAGAATGTGTTAAGGGACAGAATTTTTCACCACGGGCATGTTTAGGCAAGCTGCCTGTGCACAATGACTTGGGCAACATTTGGCTGTCTCCTGCCTCTATCATTAGGACATAAAATATGCTCTTCTCTCATATAAAATGCTTCCACTCGCATGCCTTCAGAAACTTTTTTTAGCCAGAGCACTAGCTTTGTGCAAAACCTTCAACACTATCCAGGCAATCTTAGACCCATACTAGTAATTTTACCAGGACGAAGATCCCTGCTGTAGTGAGGAAACCAAGTTAAAGCAATTGATCCATAGAGTCATTAGCACTCAGCTAAAATTGCCCAGATCATTATAGGACTCAGATTACAAAGGGAGTGGCCAGTGGGTGAAGAGGTGTGGAGTTCCCAAAATGGCAATTATCAGCATAGTGCTCTGACCCATTTTCAATATCTCATTACCAACTTGATAGCAAGAGAGCCTGTGTGATCAGCATGGAATGTGAAGACATTAAGAAGCAAATGTTATTATCTACAAAGTTATAGAAGCAGAAGTAATTTAGGCACACTACTTAGAAAGTGTAAAGTCCATAGGTCCAAAAATTTTAAAACATAAGTCTGGTTCAAAGACTGCAAATATTGACATTCTAAAAAATAAATAAAATAAATTTGATATTCAAAATAAAACAAACAAGTAAGAAACTATATAGTATTGTTTGTCAGATCATTTCAATTAACTAACACTTGATCATGGGAATAACATTTTTAGTTACGTATTGTTATGTAGCCTCATGTGTAGATGTAGAGAAAACAACAGTTTGGTCGGATACTTTTAAGACCAATTAAGGAATGAGTTATAAGTCTCATTACTTTCATTCTGAATTTAACATGCAAATAAAAAAGTAGGCACTACCAAACTTACAGCCAACCATTTCAACTATTCAGCCACATGACTTTGATCAATACCTATAGAATAGACTTTATACTCCTCAAAGTGATTTGCAAAGCAAAGACACTTTTTCGGAGAGGAGGAGTCAATATCCTTGAAACTCATAAAAGTGATTTAAAGGAGTGTTTCAAGTCCAAGTTGTCTTTCCCTTTCATCACACTGGAGCACCTTGTTAAACAGTAAGTAATGGTAAAAGAGCATTTAACAATCTGCTTCACGTGCACCTCTTTTCCAGCCAAATTGCACCTACAAAGCTAAAACAGAACCTCTCTGGATTCTCAACAAACATGAACGGAATATTTTATGGTTTGTGCAGTAGTTACAGTGTGTTGCCGTTTCTTAATTAGCAGGTATATGGATGCCTGTCTTTCATCTCACGTTATTATTGTTGCAGTAATTCAATAAAAGTATCCTAAGCATTTACATTGTGGAGCATTTTTATGATTTATACCAACAGAATGGCATACACAGTGTTGTACATCTCCTTTAAAAGTCATCACTTTATTTCATATTCTCATATTCCTTTTAAGAACAAGAAATATTGTAGTTTTCAGGACATGCTTTTACTTTTTATCATTTCTGTCTATCTGTGAATTTCATTCTTTCACATATTCCTTAACAATCCTCAAATCGATTCTGCTGAATGGTGGCAATGTTTTTCTGAAATCTCTCATGAGAGAGTAATGAATTGTCCTCTTAATCCATTCCATTAGATTTTTATTTTAAAAAATAAGTAACATTTTCCCCTGTCTGGTCACTAAGTAGATTTACACTCAGCCTCTTCAAAATGACTCATGAATAGTCAAAAGCACAAGTCCTCTATAGAGAAATAAAATATATGTATAAAGGAAAATTATTATAATATCTTTTTAGTATTGATACAGGAGTGGGGCAGGGAAGTGCTGAGAAGGGAAGAATGTGGTCCCTGGCTAGGCTCCACCCCAGGCCTGTGCCCACGGACCTAGGTGAAGACAAGCACTCCTGCTTTGGCGTGGAAATGTTGCGTTTCCCAAGACCACTCTGGCCTGCCATGCCCCCACCCTGTGCCTATGAAAACCCCGAGACCCTAGCAGGCAGAGACACAAGCAGCTGGACGTTGAGAGGAATGGGTCGGCGGAAGAAGACACAAGCAGCTGGGGATCGTCCTGCTTCAGTATGACATTCTTCAAAACCATTTCTAACTTCAAGGGTCAAGGAAACAGGGTTCAGTTGAACAAAATCGTCACGTAAAACATGTCGTAGACCTTCAAGTTGTTTCCCTTTACACTGTTCTACTTATTTGTAACACAATAGAGTCCTAGTGATTTGCTTTGGCTTTGAGACTTCTTCATTTGCATAGCCGTGCTATACCCACTTGTCTGCCTTTGCATTTATCCTGCAACCTCTCTACTTGGCCTCCTGTAAACATGTAATAGAAGCAGCAAGTAGCAACTTTAGAGAAATGATAAAGAGATTTTTTTGAAGTACTATTTGGTGTCTATAGCATCAAAATTAGAAATATCAAATAAGAGATTTGGGGATGATATTCAGTTAACTTTAAGGTGTTGTTTCAGTGATCAGCAAAGACACCAGAAGTAGGAGACAGAGGCTGAGCTCTGGTCTGGGCCACTGGATGACTACTAGCAGAGTGAGAGGCATTTTAGAGTATAGCATTCTAAGCACCCACATTTATTGTTTCCCAACTAGTTCCTAGAAAAATCTCTTGTGAATACAAGAGAAAGAGAAGGACTATAAGCATTGTTTTAATATCAAGAAACAGAGAAAGCCAGACTTACCTTAAGAATGGATAGGAACATCCTTTCTTTCCCTCTACTAGAAATTTCAGAGAGGAAGAATGACAAGGACCACACAGGGAAAGGGAGAACAATATCAGGGTTGGAACACAAGAGAACAGCAGTGTGGCTCAGGTCAGCATGACTGTCAGAGTAACACAACAGATAACCCCAGTGATCAGAGATATAAATGCAGAACATCAGTTATAGAAAAGCAAGTTTTAAAGCCTACAAAAGAAAATGGACAAAACATTCAAGATTCCATAGAAGGAATAATTATTATAATAATGATTGCTGATACTTCAAATTTGCCAAAAACTGTCTTAAATATTTTGCATATATTATTTCATTAATATCCAAGCCATTCCTATGGGATAGGGACAATTATTATGCACTTTATACGGATGAGGAAATTGAAGGATAGTGAGCTTAAGTTTCTTACTTATAGGTGTAAGAAAAAAAAAAGTAATATGCTGAACTTTGAAAGGTGGAATTTTAGATACAGTCTGTGCTCTCAATCACTGCAGATTCCTGGCCACAGCAAAGAGGAAGCTTGGGTTTGCATGTCCAGGACCTCCACCCTAAGTATTCAGGCACTCTTTTTGACATCATTGCTGTTGTTACTTAGGTGTATCTCCTTGGTTGTGTTTCTCCATTCTGCTATAAAAACTGAGAAAACACAGGTGAGTAACAGAAAATACAACTTAAACATGGTGGTCAATAATAGTACTGGCTGTTTTTAATTTTGTTATTCATTCACTTATCTATTTATTCATATATTGAACAAGATACCCCACCCTTTACTTCATTTATCCAGCATGTGTCCTAAGTGGTGAGTAAATAATCCATTAGCACTTTCAGGCCTATGTGCCCACCTCCTTTCTCGGAGGAAGCCATGTACAGCCTGTAATAGTACATGTCTTCATTATTTGCTTCCCAATCACTAATTCAGTAATACAGAAAGAAGGTCACAGTACAGAATTCCTCTGCTACTACAATATAAGTATTAACATATTTTTAGTAGTTCTTTGTGTTCACTGTGAAAATATTTCAATATCAAAATAAAAGGCACAGTTCTGTTGGAACTAATATGCTGATAATTAATGTTTGATAAAATGGTTTTTCTGTAACATTACTGAAATACCAAGTTGAGTCACACAAGCACACATACTCAAAAAGGTTTTGAATTATCAAATATTTCCAATAAAGTGCAAGTGAACAAACATCAGCATGCAAAGAGGGAAAAGCATAATTCTCTAAGACAACTGAAAATTATGCAAATGTTAAATGCCATTCAGACTTCGTTACATACGAAAAACATTCCTGAAGAGATAAATACCCTTTTCAATCAGTTCATACGTATTCCCACACAGGTACACTACCTAAAATGTACTGATCAGTGACCAAAATCAATATAGTTATATAAGTTCTATATATAAGCATGCAAAATTGTTACGCTGTTTTACCAGCAAGTGACTCTTAGTTGATCTGAAATGGAAATAAATCTACAATCTACTGCCTTATTTTTCTTCACACCGCCTGATTTTGAAGATGCAGAGTAAATTAAAGGTCACTCAGTGACTCATATCTAAACACCGCATGGTTAATCCTGAACATCTACTTCCTGAGCGATTCAACCAGTTACGCTCTGAGCTCCACAATCAATAAAATGTACTGGAGTCTTGAATCCATTGAAGTGCTTTAAAATTCAGCCAGTATAACCCTTCCTGCAAGTGTTCCACTGCTGTTTCCCCAGTGTGTGAGCTCTCCCAGGAGCTGACACAAAGTAGCTGTTCCACACTTTAAAAAGGGAGCACCAGTTGCCAGACTTGAAATTGCGGTGGGGATTACAACAAATTCCCAAACCACCCTACAGCAGAAACAAGCAGCTAGACTCATATGTTAGAATAGCAAAATAAGATGGAGGAGACCGAAACTTTTACACCATAGAATCTTTCGTAGCAACTATTAGGTAACATTGATAAGACTTGAAATTAAGGATATTTGGCTATAATAGCAGCTGGGAAGAAAAGTAAACACTTGTAAGGACAATGAATGGCGTGCACGCGCACACAAACACAGACACACACACACACACATACACACACTCAGCCTTAAAGACTGACACACTGGTCATTTGCCACAACATGAATAGACCTAGAAGACATTAGGCTAAGTAAAATAAGCCAGATACAGACAGAAAAATTTTACATGATCTCACATGTGGAATCTAAAAAAAAAAAAATCAAACGTATTGAGCTAGATCATAAAACAGTGTTACCAGGGTCAAAGGAAAGAGGAAATGAGGAGATGAAGGTCAAAGGATGCAAAGTAGCAAATATGTAGCAGGAAGAAATCAAAAGATCCAATGAGTACTGCAGTTAATAATAGTGAATTGTGTTCAGGATTTTTGCTCAATGACTGTTCTTATCACAGTGAGGAGAAAGTGGGTAACTACGTGAGATGATAGATATGCAAATTTGTTCCAGTATAGTGACCATTTTAAATATATATGTAAATTTACACATACATATTTACGTATATAATGGTCACCACATATGTAAAGTTGTGTGTGTACACACACACATATATATTTGTCTTATAAAATAATGCTGTATATCAGCAGTCCTCAATCTCTTTGGCACCAGGAACCAGTCTCCTGGAAGACAGTTTTTCCGCGTACCTGGGGTGGGGGCAGGAGTATAGTTTTGGGATGAAACTGTTCCACCTCAGAGCACCAGGCATTAGTTAGCTGCTCAAAAGGAGCACACACACAACCTAGATCCCTCAGTTGGGCAGTTCACAATAGGGCTTGTCTCCTGTGAGAATCGAATGCTGCTGCTGATCTGACAGGAGGTGGAGCTCAGGCAGTAATGCTCACTTGCTGCTCACCTCCTGCTGTGCGGCCCTGTTACTAACAGGCCACGTGTAGCTACTTGTCCACAGCTCGGGGGTTGGGGACCCCTGTTGTATACCTTAAATATACAGAATAAAATTTACATTAAAAAAGAGATGATTGATAATTTTAGTAAGTTTTGTAAAAAGATTTAATTAGTACATTATATACAGCATGTATTGCCTTGTGGTTTAGTTATTTATGCAATATTGTGTTCAAAGTAGGCTGTAATCCACGTTTTGTTACATGTAACATGCATGTTTTGTTCATTTTTGTATCCTTACAGATCTTAACGATGCTGTGAACTTGATAAGCATTTAATTGAATCCTCCAAATATAAAATTTTAAGTGGTCATCTTAAACATAGCAAGACTTGAATTTAAAGTATTATACCAAATCAAACAGTGGCCAGATGGCGATTTTAAAAATTACAAACTCATATATTTCTTCCATTCTACAGAGACTAATCAGTCATTGAATATTATGGATGAGTCTTTGAAAAGGCATTTTGCCCCGTCTTCTGCCCCTCAAGTAAGTGTTTAGCTGTATCATTCCAAACACATGAGAATCTATTTGGCTCCAGAACTGCAGGGAAATAAGGTACAGTCTTCCTCAGTAAACCCTGCCACTGATAATATTATCATGTATGAAATTATGAATGAATTTATTGACTAATTGACAATATGTCAGTTGGAGAATTTAATCTTGAGTGTACCGTTTTCACAATGCAGCAAACTTTGAAGTTACTATCAAAAGCCAGATGTCTTTAAGGTATGTTAAAAATTCAGTCAAAACTTTAAAAATTTAATAGGAATAATACAAGCCTTGCTCTGTAGATTGTTTGAAGGTTGCTATTGCAACGCTTGAAAATCAAATATAATGTAGAAAAATTAAAGTCTGGTTAAGGTCCGTTAATTATAATGCAATGCTTCAGCCAAACAACAGCTTGGCTTTAAATCAATACCCAATTAAATAGTTCCTGCAGTTCTAGTCATTAATTGCTCTGTAGCTTAAAAAATAACATTCTAACTACTTATAGAAAGATAATCAAAATTGGCATGTGAAACTTCAATTTGGTTCTTCTGATTATCTTTCAAGAAGGAAAATTAGCTTTTTCAGTGACCTATGGTCCATACATTTCAAGTCCACTCAAACCTGTTGAAAATGGAATAAAATCACAACTAATAAGTGTTTGGTTATAGGATAATAATATGTCTGGAATTGGTGGGTTCTTGGTTTCACTGACTTCAAGAATGAACCCATGGACCCTCGCAGTGAGTGTTACAGTCCTTAAACGCAGCGTGTCCGGAGTTTGTTCCTTCTGATGTTCACATGTGTTCATAGTTTCTTCCTTCTGGTGGGTTCCTGGTCTCGCGGACTTACGAGTGACACTGTAGACCTTCGTGGTGAGTGTTACAGCTCCTAAGGCAGCACATCTGGAGCTGTTCATTCCTCCTAGTGGGTGTGTGGTCTCACTGGCTTCAGGAATGAAACTGCAGACTTTCGTGACCAGTGTCACAGCTCATAAAAGCAGTGTGGACCCAAAGCCTGAGCAGCAGCAGGATTTATTGCAAACAGCTAAAGAAGAAAGCTCACACGGCGTCGAAGGCGATCCAAGCAGGTTGTCACTGCTGGCTCCGGCAGCCTGCTTTTATTCTCTTATCTGGCCCCACCCACATCCTGCTGATTGGTCCATTTTACAGAAAGCTGATTGGTCCATTTTACAGAGAACTGATTGGTCCATTTTGACAGGGTGCTGATTGGTGCATTTACAATCCCTGAACTAGACACAAAAGTTCTCCAAGTCCCCACTAGATTAGCTAGATACAGTGTGTGGGACATAAAGGTTCTCCAAGTCCCCACCAGAGTAGCTAGATAGAGAGTGTCGATTGGTGCATTCACAAACCCTGAGCTAGACACAGGGTGCCAATTGGTGTGTTTACAAACCTTGAGCTAGATACAGAGTGCCGATTGGTGTATTTACAATCCCTTAGCTAGACATAAAGGTTCTCCAAGTCCCCACCAGACTCAGAAGCCCAGCTGGCTTCACCCAGTGGATCCCGCAGGGGGCTGCAGGTGGAGCTGCCTGCCAGTCCCTTGCCATGTGCCTGCACTCCTCAGCCCTTGGGTGGTCGATGGCACTGGGTGCCCTGGAGCAGGGGGCGGCGCTCCTAGGGGAGGCTCGGGCTGGCAGGAGCCCACAGCGAGGGGGAGGCTCAGGCATGGCAGGCTGCAGGTCCCGAGCCGTGCCCCTCAGGGAGGCAGCTAAGGCCCGGCGAGAAGTCGAGCACAGCAGCTGCTGGCCCAGGTGCTAAGCCCCTCACTGCCCCGGGCCAGCGGGGTCGGCTCGCCCCTCCCAGTGCGGGGCCTGTCCAGCCCACGCCCACCCCTGAACTCGTGCTGGCCCGCAAGCGCCGAGCGCAGCCCCAGTTCCCGCCCACGCTTCTTCCTCCACACCTCCCCGCAAGCTGAGGGAGCCGGCTCCCGCCTTGGCCAGCCCAGAAAGGGGCTCCCACAGTGCAGCCGCGGACTGAAGGTCTCCTCAAGTGCAGCCAGAGTGGGCGCCAAGGCTGAGGAGGCTCCCAGAGCCAGCAACGGCTGTGAGGGCTGCCAGCATGCTGTCACCTCTCAATAGTACACAAGAAAATGGCATTTCAATCTTCATGAAACTATCATCATTGAAAAAAATAATTATTTCTTTAATATGTCCTTAGTTGGGGACATACAGAATTCTTGCTGCCTATACAATATTATTATAGATGGGAAATGTTTTAAAAGTAACATGTTCTAGCTGTTGCTGGCAAGGGAACATTTATGGTTAAAAACGAAATGCTGCCTTGCTCTGGAATAAGAAATCACTCTTCAGCTCAACTCTAAGCACAAAGTGACTCATCCTGCCAGAGGTGATTTACAATGACCCTCCTACTGATGCATCATCCAGAATGCTGATTGCGCAGCAGGACAAATACAGAAGCAGAGGCGAAAAGTGTTAAATTAAGGATGCCTACGTGATAAAGAGAGCTGCAGAACCTATGAGAATCACAGAAATCATCAGGATATCTAAAAAGCAAGGATAAGAGAACATAATTGAGATCAACAGCACAAATAGAAACATGCAGGCAGGAAGGCAGCACTGAGTTGCAAATGTGATAACTAGGAATTTAGAATGTTTTTGAAGTGAAGTCATGTTTCATCCTTACACAGCTTATGGAAAAAAAATGTGGAAACAAGAAAAGAAACTACAGAGCAGAGACAATGCATATGAAAGAGGAGAAGCACCCCAGAAGAGGACCCCTTTCCTTTTCTGTCCTTCACATATACAAGTCTTAGTGTAGAGGGCTTAGAAGTATGTGTTGTGCAGTGTTTGTAAAACTTTTATTTATAGAAGGTTTGAAATTATCCATTATGAGTCAGATGTGCAAATATGCAATTTTCCGTATTTCTCCCTACTGCATTCAACTTATTCTCTGAGCCTTCTTTTAAAAATGTAATGCAGGCTTCTCCAGGTAACTCAGCCACATCTGATTGGAAAAGATCTCAAGGTAATTATTTTGTTAATAGAGATACAAAACTCCGACAAGTCCTTTTTCAAACTCTGTAGCAACAATACATACACATATTTCTTATATGCTTGCCTCTTGCCTTACTCCTCCATGAGAAAGCTTTTGAGAGTAAAAAATTGCTAGCAGAGTATCACAACAGAGGTCGCGCGGGAATGTATTTTACAAGGGCTCTTCTCAGGTTCCAATGGACTGTTATTACTCTTCCCATGAGTCTTTTTGTGGCCACCTTGGTTCTTTCTGTATCTACATCTAACGTAAAGTGGTCCCATCTTGCCTTTGCACACCTACAAGCATCCTTGCTGGCACCCAAAACCCGTAGCATAGCCTTGATATCTACACATTGTATTTGCTCATCTCAACCTAGGTCTCCTATGATTTACCAACCTTCTTTGCAAATCCACATGTTCCATTAAGGCATGAAGCAATTTCTTGATTTTCTTTACACCAGGTCTTTCATAACTCTGAGATGTAGTGGAAGACACTATCTCAAGCCCTCTTTCTGCCTGAAAAATCCAAAACCTTTGGATAAAACATTTTGGGCATCCCATTTGGAGAGCATAATGAAGCTTTGCCTCCCGGAAGGGAACAGAGAACATGCCTCTTCTCCCTGAAATTACCAAAGATGTGGGAGTGAGCTTCTCACTGAAGCCTCAAAGTGTTTCTTTCTTTCTTGTTCCAATGCTTTCCTCTAGCTGAGGAAAGCTTTTATCTAATCCCTGTTTGGCAGGAAATTGTCCCGAAGCTATCCTTCCTATTTTATAGTTTATAGTAAAAATGTCATGTTCAATTCTCTATACTTTTGTTCTTGATGTTTAAAGGGAAAAATCTGGAATTTAGAAAACTGTTTTCAAGTGTTTGTCGTTTGCTACTGAAAGCCCATATTTTAGTAATATAATCTCAGAAATGGACTTCAAGAGCCTATTTTAAAGGGTGAGGGGTTGACTTTGACTCTTTTGTTCTCTTTGCATTTCAGCTATAACAATCCTAATATGGTAATGTGCTGCTTGGAAATAATCTGCAACTGATGTAGACATCTTGCTAAGTAGTTGTATGTATTATTCATTTTATACTCACAACATTGAACAAATGAGGATACTGAGGTACAGAGAGATTAATTAGCTCATGCAGGACCACACAGTTAGTGATGAAACCAGGCAATGAAGCCAGGCAGCTTGCATCCAGAGCCTACACTCTGCTATGCTACACCACTTAGGGCAATCTGCGCTGATCCAGAAGGGGAGGAGTCACATATAAAGAAGCGAAAAACAGAAATTCCATTTGAAAATATCTAATTATGTATGTGTATATATATTTATTAGTGCCTAATTTAATGTGTAGTAATATATACAGTTCCAATTCTGATCACAATCTCAATCTTTCACAACAAATCTTTTAGTCATACTTGGAAAATTCTGGATTAAAGACCTTTCTGATACCATCATCTATTATTTCTGGGTGTGGGGAACTTAGCTACGAGAGTGCACAGAAATGCACAAAACTAGGGAGGCACATTCTCTTCCATAATGCTGTGTCCACCCAGTATATTTCTCTCTCGGTGTATTCCATCTTTCACTGGAGCTAATAGTCATAGAAGTTAAGCTTTTCTCCTATGCCTAAAATTGTGTTTTTATTTTCATGTGGATGGTTTCTCTTTGTAATTATGTGAACAACTCATAAGCATGCTTAATGAATCACATCTTGATTCCTTGCAACTCATTGGAGAAATATGTTATCATACTTCAAACATAATCAGGAAATGTCATACCTATTAATGGGTTCATTGTGACAAGTCATGAAAATATTACAATGTGTAACTTGGAATCCAGTAAACAATATTAGAAGAGATTTTCTAAAGTATAATTACAATTTTTTCTCTATATGTGCCGAAAAAAGCGTTGTCAGGAGAAAGAAAGTGTACTGGCTTATCACGTGATTCTTATCTTGATTTAAGTCATGTTATTACTTATACACTATCCATTAATTCCGAAGAAGACCTAGTGTACTTTAATATATCAAACTATGAAATACAAATTTATATTTCTTTCTTGATTTATATTCTTATTTTGATTTAAGATATATTTTATCATGCAACTTTTTTGCATTTTATATCATGTATGAAATCAATGAAAGTATTCTACATATATGATATCAAAAATAAATAATACTAAATTATATTACATATGAGTCAGTGTGGAAACAAAGATAAAAGCAAAACTAGTTTGGTTTCTGAAGTACTGCCCTTCCATCATGTATCATTGTTTAGTTAAGGTAACAGAAACTTCAACTGGTGTTTCAATTGGAGGAAATTTAATACACGGTATAGTTACAAAAGGGTCAGAAAGCCTAGAATAGCCAAAAGAGAAAAGTAAACTTCCTTGATTGGTATCTGCAGGAAGCAACCACCATCCTAGGCTAGAGGAGCAGAAGGGGTATAGTGTCACCTATAGCCACGGTCCCTGCCCACCTGGAGCTGCTGGAGTCCCACTGCTGCTACTCCTATTTGGAACCACTGCTGAAGCTGCCTTGCAGAAAACTCTTGCAGGAACTTGCAGGAACTCCCATGTTCCTGATAGTGTGGGAAACTTGGGGCCCAAAGCTACCTGCAGATGTCACAGAACATGGATAGCTGGGACAGCTGGGACAGATAGAGGCAGGACACTGTGCTGCCAGGACTGCTGCTACTGCTGCTTTGCTATGACCCACAAAACCTGTGCTGCTGCTGGAAACATGCTGCAGGAACCAAGTGCTCCACATCACTTTTTGTGACTGCTGCTAAAGGAGTCACAGTATTAGCACCCCCACCCCCCACCACCAAAAATTTTAAAAGGGTGTGAGTGATATGGTTTGGCTGTGTCCCCACCCAAATCTCATATTGAATTGTAGTTCCCATAATTTCCACGTGTTGTGGGAGGGACCCGGTTGGAGATAATTGAATCATGAGGGCAGTTTCCCCCGTTCTGTTCTCCTGGTAGTGAATAAGTCTCACGAGATCTGATGATTTTATAAGGGGTTTCCCCTTTCACTTGGCTCTCATTCTTTCCTGCCTACCACCATGTAAGATGTCCCTTGCTCTTCCGCCATGATTGTGAGGTCTCTCCAGCCACGTGGAACTGTGAGTCCATTTAACCTCTTTTTCTTTATAAATTACCCAGTCTTGGGTATGTCTTTATCAGCAGCATAAAAAACGGATGAATGCAAAGGGATTTTAGCTTTTTCCTTCTTCCTTCCAATGACTTGCCAATGCCTCTCACTGTGAGAGTCTAACAGAAGCTAGCTGGCAAAGACATTTCTAGGCAAAACGGTTTTCAGATGTCCAGCCCTCTGTTACACACAGTAAGGTACAGAAGATCAGAAGTGGCCCTCACAAGACCCTGTCTCACTTCCTAAGTCAGCTAACTTGTAGTCTCCTTTTCCTGTCATCAGCCTTTGGTAATCTCCAGAGATTTTATTCTTTTTTTTTTTCTTTTTTCTTTTTTTTTTTTTTGACATGGAGTCTCGCTCTGTCACCAGGCTGCAGTGCAGTGGTGCGATCTCAGCTCACTGCAACCTCCACCTGCCAGGTTCAAGCAACTCTCCTGCCTCAGCCTCCTGAGTAGCTGGGACTACAGGTGCACACCACCACACCCAGCTAATTTTTGTATTTTTAGTAGAGATGGGATTTTGCTGTGTTGGCCAGGATGATCTCAGTCTATCGACCTCGTGATCCGCCTGCCTCAGCTTCCCAAAGTGCCGGGATTACAGCCAGAGATTTTTTTAAATGCTGTTTTCTGTTCTTCTTTCTCTTCTGCTCATTTTGAAACTAGAAAATATATTTCTGTTCTTTTAGTAATTAACTGTAAAATTTGAACAGACATTCTTATATAAATATTTTCCGGCAATGCCAAAATTTGTTTAATATCCCTATCCTCCCTGAATAAGGAGCAAAACATTCTCACTCTTCAGTGTACTCTCTCCTCCTCCTTCCTCATTACTGCTGTCTTGAACTTCAGTTCCACATTTTTAAACTATCTTTTTACCATGGTAAAATATACGTGAAATAAAATTTGCCATTTTAGCAATTTTTAGATACACAATTCAGTGATGTTATTGTATTCACAATGCTGTGCAATCATTACTTCTATCTATTTTCAAAACTTATTTATCACTCCAAGGAGAAACTTTACCCATTAAGAAATAACTCCCCATTATACCTATCCCCAGCCCCTGGTCACTTCTTATCTATTTTCTCTATGAATTTGACCATTTTAGATATTTCATACATGGAATCATAGAATATTTGTCCTTTTGTGTCTGGCTTATTTTGCTTAGAAAAATGTTATCAAAGTTTATCTATGTTGTAGCCTGTAGAACTTCATTGCTCTTTATGGCTAATTACATTTTATTCCACATACATGCCACATTTGATTTATCCATTCATCTGTGGATGGACATTTGGGTTGCTTGTGCCTTTGGGCTATTGTGAAGTGCTGCAATGAACACTGGTATTCATGGAGGTATAAAATAGTTCACATTTTGGTTTTGATTTGCATTTTTCTAGTAACTAATGATGTTGGGCATCTTTCATGGGATTATTGGACATTTATTTATCTTCTTTGGAGAAATGTCTATTCAACCCTGCCTGTTTTTAATTGGATTGTTTGCCTTTTTGTTGTAGAGTTGTAGGATTCTGGAATTTAAACACATATCAGATATATGATTTCTGTATTCTGGAATTTAGACACATCAGATATATGGTTTGCAAACACTTTCTTCTATTTTGTAGGTTATCTTTTCCCTTTTTTTAACTTTTATTTTAGGTTTAGGGGTACATGTACAGTTTGTTATATGGGTAAACGGGATGTCACAGGGGTTTGGTGTACAGATTATTTCATCACCCAGCTAATAAGCATTGTACTGGATAAGCAGTTTTTGATCTTCACCCTTGTCCCACCCTCAACCCTCAAGTAGGCCCCAGTGTCTGTTTTTCCCTTCTTTGTGTCCATATGTACTCAATGTTGAGTGCCCACTTATAAGTGAGAACATGTGGTATTTGGTTTTGTGCTCTTGTGTTCGTTTGCTTTGAATAATGGCCTCCAGCTCCATCCATGTTGCTGCAAAGGAAATGATCTCATTCTTTTTGCATAGTATCCTATGGGTATATGTACAACATTTTCTTGTCCAGTCTACTGTTGATGGGAATTTAGGTTGAGTCCATGTCTTTGTTATTGTGGATAGTGTTATGATGAGCATGTGCATGAACGTGAATTTTTTGTTGTTGTTTTTTTGAGACGAAGTCTCGCTCTGTCACCCAGGCTGGAGTGCAGTGGCCTGATCACTGCAACCTCTGCCTCCCACATTCAAGCACTTATCCTGCCTCAGCCTCCCGAGAGTAGCTGGGACTACAGGCGCACGCCGCCATGCCCAGTTAATTTTTTTTTTTTTTTGTATTTTAGTAGTGACAGGGTTTCACCATATTGCCCAGGCTGGTCTCGAACTCCTAAGCTCAGGCAATCCGCCCACGTTGGCCCCCTAAAGTGCTGAGATTACAAGCCTGAGCCACTGCCCCCAGCCCATGCATGTGAATTTATCGTAGAAGAATTTATATTCCTTTGGGTATATACCCAGTAATAGAATTTCTGGGTTAAACGGTAATTCTGTTTTAAGTTCTTTTTTTTTTTTTTTTGAGACAGAGTCTCTGTTGCCCAGGCTGGAGTGCAGTGGTGCGATCTCGGCTCACTGCAACCTCCGCCTCCCAGGTTCACGCCATTCTCCTGCCTCAGCCTCCCGAGTAGCTGGGACTACAGGCGCTCACCATGCCCAGCTAATTTTTTGTATTTTTAGTAGAGACGGGGTTTTACCGTGTTAATCAGGATGGTCTCGATCTCCTGACCTCGTGATCCACCCGCCTCGGCCTCCCAAAGTACTGGGATTACAGGCATGAGCCACCGCACCCGCCCTTGATTTGCATTTCTATAATGATTAGTGATGTTGAGCATTTTTTCACATACTTATTAGCTGTGTGTATGTCTTCTTTTGAAAAATGTCTGTTTGTGTTTTTGTCCATTTTTTAATGTGGTTGGTTGTTTTTCGCTTGTAAATCTGTTTAAGTTCCTTATAGATTTTGGATAGTTAGACCTTAGTCAGATGCATAGTTTGCAAATTTTTTTTCTCATTCTGTGGATTGTATTTTTATTCTATTGATAGTTTCTTTTGCTATGCAGAAGCTCTTTAGTTTAATTAGGTCCCTTTTTTTTATTTTTATTTTTGTTGCAAGTACTTTTGGCATCTTTATCATGAAATCCTTGCTAGGTCCTCTGTCCAGAATGACCAGAGTGATATTTTTTAGGTGACCTTCAAGGGTTTTTATGCTTTTGAGTTTTACATTTAAGTCTTTAATCCATCATGAGTTGATTTTTGTATATGGTGTGAGGAAGTGGTCCAGTTTCAATCTTCTGCATATGGCTAGCCAGTTATGCCAGCACCATCTACTGAATAGGAAGTCCTTTCCCCATTGCTTGTTTTTGTCAGCTTTGTGAAAGATCAGATGGTTGTAGGTGTGCAGCATTATTTCTAGGCTCTCTATTCTGTTCCATTGCTGTGATATATTCTGAGTGAATTATTCAAAACAAGTATCAAACATCACTAATTATCTCTATGACTCTGTCCAGTCTAGAACTCTCATCTAGTAGATTTTTTAATTTCAATGACTACTTCTTCATTCCCAGTATTTCTCTTTGTAGCTCATATCTGTCTATTAATACATTGGTTGTTTCTTTTTAAATGTAATTTTTTGGCAGGGCACAGTGGCTCACACTTGTAATCCCAGCACTTTGGGAGGCCAAGGTGGGCGGATCACTTGAGGTCAGGAGTTCGAGACCAGCCTGGCCAACATGGTGAAACCCCATCTCTACTAAAAATACAAAAAATGAGCTGGGTAGCAAACCACCGTGGCACATGTATACCTGTGTAACAAACCGGCACATTCTGCATATGTACCCCAGAACTTAAAGTAAAATAAAAGAAAAAAAAATTAGCTGGGCATGGTGATGCACGCCTGTAGTCTTAGCTACTCAGGAGGCTGAGGCAGGAGAATCGCCTGAACCCAGGAGGTGGAGGTTGCAGTGAGCCGAGATTGCGCCACTGCACTCCAGCATCGGCAACAGGGCAAGGCTTTGTCCCAAATAATAATAATAATAAATAAATGCATTTTTTTATTTCTTCATGAGTATAAAAAGCATTTTGTGACTACTTATATTAGTTTGTAAGGTCTCCCATAATAAAATGTCACAAACTAGATAGCTGAAACAACAGAAACTTATTTTCTTAAACTTTGGAAGCTAGAAGTCCAAAACCAAAGTGTTGGCAAGTTTAGTTTCTTCTGAGGCTGATGACTCTCTTCTCGGCTTTTCTCCTGTGTCACCCTGGGAACACAGTTATAGCAGTTATTTAGCAGGGCTCTCTTTGACCCTTTCCATGGTATCTCTGGTAAGGTGGCTGCTTCATTTGGTATTAGATCCTACCCATAATGCTTCCCTAATTACCAGCTCTACTAGTTTTGACAATGTCCTGAAACACAAATTTCTGAGCAGTCTGATCTTATTAAATTTGGTGTCTTATGCAGGATTATTTTGGAGCCTGTCTTTGAGTTTTTTCAAAAACCCTAGCAGAGCTCTTCTTAGGTGTCCCTTTTCCTGGTTTTCTTTGTTGAACTAGCTGGCCTATGGTTTATAGTGTTGCTTCAATTAAGAGGAGCTACTATTTATCGGGATGCCCTCATCCTTAAACTTCCCCATATTCTGTTTCAAATAAAATCAGTTATTTGGGGAGAGCACCAGAGCTCTCTTTTTTTTTTTTTTTTTTTTTTTTGTCACTGCCTCTCCCTGCGGAAAAACTTTCTGAGCCACTCTTCTGGGCACAGCATACCACAGTAGCCTCTACTCTTCTCGGTTTGCCTCTTATTATGGAACCTCTTTCCTATGAGCAAGGTGAGATTAGAGCAATCTTGGTTCAACTATTCCCAGCTTTCCCTGTGTGGGATACAGTTGCCATTCTACAAATAGGAGTGGGATGAAAGCAGGTAGTCCCTAACTCCCAGCCATATTCACCAGGAATTTCACTTCATCATGTAGTTGGAGGAAATGAGAAGTACAGGAAGCTTTCTCTCATGGTGCAATAAGATGAGATTTTATTGAGAGCTGAGGGAAGAAGCAGCTTTATCTATTGGCCTCATGCATCCTAAATGAAAATTCTGTCAAACTGAGCTGGAGTGGGCAAGAGAGACGAAACGATTGTGATTCAAATGCCACATATTCATATCTTATTATATTGTAGTATATTTTTTTGAATAAATGTTTCCTCCTTTGCTATATACTTGTAGAACTATTCCCAGAGATTTTAGGTGGTTGATTGTTTTCTTTTCCTCTTTTCAATAGTTTTCATCAGCTTTTCATGTTTCACTGGGGAGTGCATCCTGAGAGGTCGTCACACTATCATCTTGGAAGTGAATCTCTTACATTTCAGTTTTAAAGGTAAGATAATTTAATGATGGAAGGAGGGGCTTCAAGATGGCTGACTAGAGGCATCTGATACTTGCCTCCTCTATGAAAAGGAAGCAAAAAAGTGAATAGATAGTCACATTTCAAATAGATTACCTAAGAGAAAACACAGGAATTCAACAGAGAAGTGACAGGAAACACGTAACACAAAGAAGGAGAGAGAAGTGAGTCAGCCTGCTCAGCTGCAACTGGCTAGAATCTCAGGGAGGCTGCCTAATGTGAGGTAAGGGTAAGTGAGTGACTCCTAGTGGTCCACATTCCCACTGCAGACTGTTGTAATCCTAGCCATGGGAGAGCCCCTTCATCCACACAGGCCCTGAAACTAATATAGGGAGCTACCTGGAGATCTTGCAAAAGCATCGCTCCAGAAAAGAACTCACACTGAGTCCTACACACTCCTCAAGTCCTAAGAAGCTACAGAAAGGCATCATTTTGAGAGTCCAACCACCAACAGACTGCATCTTGTCTTAAGGCTCAACACCCCTTTATCTTCTTATCCCTGGAGCCCTATTGACATCCTCCACTTGCAACCAGGTTCCACAGCTGGCTGCTACTGCCAGGTCCAAAGTGTGAGCCATTGGCAGCAATCCCACCATCTTCAGGAATGAAGTCACTTCATATTTGCAAGTCCCTTGTGGACAAGCTACCCTGCCAACAGCCACCAACTGGAACCAAAGCAGATGCTCCCCAGTTAACTGTTTATGGCTGATATGACTGAAAGCAACCTTGCCTTCACCAGAAGAAAGTCCACAGCACGGCTGGTGCTACCCCCACACAAGCATTCTACCAAAGGCCTGGGAACCTTTGCCTACCACAGCCAGTACCCAGACACACCACTAGGGATGCCTGAGGACAGGCACACACAGCATGGCTCCTCCCAACATCCAGTGCCCAGCCACACCATCTGAGAGCCTGGGTGGGGATGGCTCAGCCCCATCCACCACCACTAGCAACTGAGCATTCCTCCCGGGAATCTGACGGCAAGCCCACTCAACCTGCCACTCTCACCAGAGCTGGCACTCACCTGCACATACTACCTGTGGGCCTGAGGACTGGCCTGCCCAGCCTATTGCAGCCACCACCAACGTTAGCATGGATCATATGGGAGTAAAAATGTTGTTCCACCACTGCTACTGTCATTGTCCATGCCACATCTGCTGCCCAGGGACCGACCCAAAGACCCACTCACCTGTCAGCCCACTGCTCTCACTGCCAGCACCTAAGCAAACTGTATGGAGGCCCAAGAATTGACCCACATGGACCTGCTAACAGTGGTGCTGGCTTATGCTGCCCTGGCGCCCAAAGACAGGCATGGTCAGTCTGCCACTGCCACCACTGGGGCCCCACTGTCAGGCCCACCTGACATTCCTGTCTGCAGAAAAACTTCACCACAGTCTCCACTAACAACTGCACCCTAGGCCACTGAGGAAATCACAGAAATTACCGATGCTATTTATAGCCAAAGAACTCATATGGCTACTCCACTACTGCACACACCCAGAATCAAAGCCATAGTACCCTATCCAACCAACACCATGAATGTATCTTAGGGAAATTCTTCCCCTAGGAAGGCAAATTCAAAAAATTCGAAGAAGTGACTGTTACACAAGATGCACAGATATCAACATAAGGATACGAGAAACATGGAAAGTCAGGGAAAGATACCTCGAAGGGAACACAATTCACCACAGCAGATTCAAATCAAAGAGAAATTTATAAAACCCTAGGAAAAGAATTCAAAATATTGTTATTTTAAAAGTTCAGTTAGGGCTGGGCGTAGTGGCTCGCACCTGTAATCTCAGCACTTTGGGAGGCAGAGGTGGGCAGATCACGAGGTCAGGAGTTCAAGGTCAGCCTGGGCAACATGGTGAAACTCCGTCTCTACTAAAAATACAAAAAATTAGCCAGGTATGGTGGTGCACGCCTGTAGTCCCAGCTACTCAGGAGGCTGAGGCAGAAGAATCACTTGAATCCAGGAGGCAGAGGTTGCAGTGAGCCGAGATAGTGCCACTGTACACAGACTCCAGAGAGGATGTGGAGAAATAGGAACACTTTTACACTGTTGGTGGGACTGTAAACTAGTTCAACCATTGTGGAAGACAGTGTGGCGATTCCTCAAGGATCTAGAACTAGAAATACCATTTGACCCAGCCATCCCATTACTGGGTATACACCCAAAGGATTATAAATCATGCTGCTATAAAGACATATGCACATGTATGTTTATTGTGGCACTATTCACAATAGCAAAGACTTGGAATCAACCCAAATGTCCATCAATGATAGACTGGATTAAGAAAATGTGGCACATATACACCATGGAATACTATGCAGCCATAAAAAAGGATGAGTTCATGTCCTTTGTAGGGACATGGATGAAGCTGGAAGCCATCGTTCTCAGCAAACTATCTGAAGGACAAAAAACCAAACACTGCATGTTCTCACTCGTAGGTGGGAATTGAACAATGAGAACACTTGGACACAGGAAGGGGAACATCACACACTGGGGCCTGTCATGGGGTCAGGGGTGGGGGATAGCATTAGGAGATATACCTAATGTAAATGACAAATTAATGGGTGCAGCACACCAACATGGTGCATGTATACATATGTAACAAACTTGCACGTTACGCACATGTACCCTAGAACTTAAAGTATAATTAAAAAAAAAAAAAGCTCAGTTAGATACAAGAAAATACTGAAAGAAAACACAAAGAAATAACAAAAGCAATTTAGAATATGAATGATAAATTTACCAAACAGATAAATATCATAAAAAGAACCAACAGAAATTCTGGAACTGAAGAATTCATTGAATAAAATACAAAATACATTCAAAATTTCAATAATAAATTATAATTTTTCTCAAGCAGAAGAAGAATTCCATAACTTGAAAAAAAGTCATTTGAAAAAACCCAAACAAAAATAATTTTAAAAGAATTTAAAAGAATGAACAAAACCTACATGACATATGAGACTATACAATGACCAAATATTTGAATTTTCAGTGTCTCAGAAGGGAAATAAAATATAACAGGGATAGAAAACCTTCTTAAGTAAGTAATACATGAAAACATCCCAAGCTTAGCAAGAAATATAGACATCCAGATACAGGAAGCTCAGAGATTCTCAAATAGATACAATTCAAAAAGGTCTTCTCCCCAGCACATTATGATTAACTTGTCAAAAGTCAAAGAAAAAGAACGATTTCTAAACAAAGCAAAAGAAAAGTGTCTAGTCACTTATAAGGTAATGAATACCCCATCAGACTACTAGCAGATTTCTCAGCAGAACTCTTACAGGCCAGGAGAGAATGGAATGACATATTCAAATTCCTGAAAGAAAAAAAAAATGCTACCCAAGGATATTAGACTCAGCAAAGGTATTCTTCATAAATGAAAGAAAAATAAAGTCTTTCTCAGATAAGCAAAAGCAGAGGGAATTCATCATCATTAAAGTAGCCCTATAAGAAATGTTTAAGGCCCCCATATGAGGATGCAAAAGGACAATATGTACCTTCATGGAAATACATGAAAATATAAAATTCACTGGTGGAGCAAACACACAGTAAGAAAGAGAATAGATGAATAGACTCATATGTTACCACTATAAACCACCACCAAATTACAATGATAAACAATAAAAAGAAAGGAACAGCAGATATACAAAAGAACCAGAAATCCAATAATAAAATGACAAAAATAAGCCCTCACATATCAATAATAACCAAGAATGTAAATGAACTAAACATTCTAGTTAAAAGATATAAACTGGCTTAATAATAGTAATTATAAACATGGCCCAACTATATGCTGCCTACAGGAACGCATCTCATCTGTAAAGACACATATAGACTGAAAATAAAGGGATAGAAAAATATATTCCATGCAAACGAAAATCTAAAGGAAGTACAAGTAGCTGTATATATATCAGATAAGACAGACTAAGTCAGAAAAAGTAAAATATGACAAAGAAGTTTATTATATAATGATAAAGAAATGGCCGGGCGCGGTGGCTCACGCCTGTAATCCCAGCACTTTGGGAGGCCGAGGCGGGCGGATCACGAGGTCAGGAGATCGAGACCATCCTGGCTAACACGGTGAAACCCCGTCTCTACTAAAAATACAAAAAATTAGCCGGGCGAGGTGGCGGGCGCCTGTAGTCCCAGCTACTCGGGAGGCTGAGGCAGGAGAATGGCGTGAACCCCAGGGGGCGGAGGCTGCAGTGAGCCGAGATTGCGCCACTGCACTCCAGCCTGGGTGACAGCGAGACTCCGTCTCAAAAAAAAAAAAAAAAAAAAAAAAAAAAAGATAAAGAAATTAATGCAGCAAGAGCATTTAATAATTATAAACATACGCACCCAACATTGGAGCAACCAGAAATTTGGGGCAAATATTATTAGATCTAAAGGAAAAGATAGACTCTAGTACAGTAATAATAGGGGACTTTAGCACCTCATTCCCAGTATTAGGTAGATCATCTAGAAGGAAAATTACCACAGAAACTTTGAATTTAAGTTACTTATTAGAACAAATGAACCTAACAGACATTTACAGAACATTTCATCCAACAGCTACAGAATGCACATTCTTCTCATAATCACATGGAACATTCTCCAGGACAGATCATAAGTTAGAATGCAAAACAAGTCTCAAATTTTTAAAAATATAAATCTGTTAAGTATTTTCTCATACAACAATGAAAAATAACTAGAATCAGTAACAGGAGGAATGTTGGAAACTGTACAAATAAATGGAAATTAGACAATGTGCTTCCTAAATGACCATTGGGTCAAGGAAGAAATTAAGAAAGAAATTAAAAAGTTTATTGAAAAAAATGAAAATTGAAACACAACATATCAAAACTTATGGGATATAACAAAAGCAATTTTAAGAGGGAAGTTTATACCAAAACGTGCCTACAACAAAAAGTAGAACATTTTCAGATAAACAATCTACAAATGCACCTCAGGGAACTACAAAAGCAGGATAAGCCCAAACCAAAACTAGTAGAAAAATTAATAAAAATTAGAGCAGAACTAAAGGATGTAGATATTTTAAAAAATTTTAAATATCAATGAAATAAAAATTTGGTTTTTTGAAAAGATATGCAAAATCAATGAACTACTAGATAGTCTAACCAAAAAAAAAAAAAAAGGAAGAAGAAGATTCAATTAAACAACATCAGTAGTGGAAAAAGTCGTAACAACTGACAGCACAGAAATACAAAAGATTATCAGAGATTATTATTGACAACTGTACACTAACAAACTGGAAATGGATAAATATCTGGACATATACAATCTACCAAGAGATTGAATCAAAAAGAAATAGAAAACATGAACAGACAATAACAAGTAATAAGACTGAATCAGTAATAAAAAACCTCTTAACAAAGAAAAGTCCAAGACTAGATGGCTTTACTGCCAATTCTAACAAACTTTCAAAGAAGAACTTTCATCAATCCTCCTAAACTATTCCATAAAATTGAAGAGGAAGGATTTCTCTCTAACTCATATTATGAGGTCAGCATTACTCTGACACCAACAGACAAGGATGCAACAAAAAAGAAAACTAGAGGCCAATATCCCTGATGAAGATAGATACAAATATCCTCAACCAAATACAACAGCAATCCAATGATAATGTACCATGACCAAGTCGGATTTATGTCAGCAATGCAAAGACGATTCAACATATGCAAATAAGTAAATGCTGTACATCACATCAACAGAATGAAGGACAAAAACCATATGATTATCAATAGGTGCAGAAAAAGTATTTTATGAAATTCAGCATCCTTTAATGGAAAAAAATTCTCAAAAAAGTAGGCATAGAACAAATATACTCAACATAATAAAGGCATATACGACTATCCCACAGCTAAAATCACACTGAATTTGGAAAAGCTGAAAGCCTTTCCTCTAAGAACTGGAACAAGACAGGGAGGCCCACTTTCACCACTCATATTCAACATAGTATTGGAAATTCTAGCCAGAGAAATCAGGCAAGAGAAAGAAATAAAAGACATCCAAATTAGAAAAGAGGAAGTCAATTTGTCCCTCTTTGCAGACAGTATGATCTTATATGTAGAAAAACCTGAAGACTCTACCAAAAGAACTATTAGAACTGATAAACAAATTCATTGAAGTTGCAGGAAACAAAATCAACATGCAAAAATGAGTAGTGTTTCTATACACCAATAATGAGCTAGCAGGGAAAGAAATTAAGAAGACAATCCCATTTACAATAGTTATTAAAAAAAACTAGAAAGTAATTAAGAAGACAATCCTATTTACAATAGCTATTTAAAAATCTAGAAATAAATATTGATCCAAAGTAGTAAAAAACCTCTACAAGGAAAACTACAAAACGCTGCTGAAAGAAATTGAGGAGGACACAAACAAATGGAAAGCCATTCCATGTCCATGGATCAGAAGAATTAATATAATTAAAATTACCCTACTACCCAAACAACTATACGAATTCAATGCAATATTTATAAAGATATTAATATTATTTTACACAGAAAAAGAAGAAATAACCCTAACATTTGTATGGAAGAAAACAGTGCACAAATAGCTAATCGAATACCGAGCAAAAAGAGCAAAGCTGGAGGAATCACACTACCTGATTTCAAAATATAGTATAGTAACAAAAACAGCATGATATTGGTATAAAAACAAACACATAAACCAATGGAACAGAATAGAGAATCCAGAAGTTCACCCACATATTTAGACAACTGATTTTCGACAAGGGAAACAAGAATATACATTGGGGAAAGGACATCCTTTTAAACAAAGGGTGCTGAGAAAATTAAAACTCCACAGCCAGGTGCAGTGGCTTACGCATGTAATCCCAACACTTTGGGAGGCTGAGGCAGGCAGATCATGAGGTAAAGAGATTGAGACCATCCTGGCCAACATGGTGAAACCCCGTCTCTACTAAAAATACAAAAATTGGCTGGGCGAGGTGGTGTGCACCTGTAGTCCCAGCTACTGGGGAGGCTGAGGCAGGAGAATCTCTTGAACCTGGGAGGTGGAGGTTGCAGTAAGCCAAGATCGTGCCACTGCACTCCAGCCTAGAGACAGAGCCAGACTCTGTCTCAAAAAAAATAATAAAATAAAAATAAAAAATAAACTCCACATGCAGAAGAATAAAACTGGATTCCTATCTCTTACCATATATAGAAATCAACACAAGATGGATTTAAAATTTAAATGTGAGATCTGAAACTGTAAAACTACTAGAAGAAAACATAGAGGCCAGGTGTGTTGGCTCATGCCTGTAATCTCAGCACTTTGGGAGGCTGAGGCAGGCGGATCACTTGAGGTCTGGGGTTCGAGACTAGCCTAACCAACATGGTGAAACCCCGTCTCTACTAAAAATACAAAATTAGCTGGACGTGGTGGCACATGCCTGTAATCTCACCTACTTGGGTGGCTGAGGCAGGAGAATCGCTTGAATCCAGGAGACAGAGGTTGCGGTGAGCTGAGATTGTGCCATTGCACTCCAAGCTGGGCAACAAAAGCAAAACTCCATCACAAAAAAAAAAAGAAAGGAAAAAATATAGAAGAAATACCTCAGGACATTAGTCTAAGCAAAGATTTTATGGTTAAGACCTCAAAAACACAGTCAACAAAACCAAAAATAAATAGGACTAGATTAATCTACAAAGCTTCTCCACAGCCAAGGAAACAATCAACAGAATGTAGAGACAACATGTTGAATGGGAGAAAATATTTGCAAATTCTTTATCAGACAAGGTACTAACATCCACAATATACAAGGAACTCAAACAACTCAACAGTAAAGAAACAAATAATCTCATTAAAAAGTGGGCAAAGGACATGAATAGCTATTTCTCAAGAGAAGGCCCACAAAATGCCAACAGGTGTATAAAAAATCCTCAACATTAGTGATCATCAGGAAAATGCAAATCAGAACCACAAAGGCAAAAAACAACAAATGTTGGCAAGGATGCAGAGCAAGGGGAACACTTATACAGCGCTGGAGGGAGTGTAAATTAGTACAGCCACTCTTAAAAACAGCATAGAGATTTCTCAAAAAACTAAAAATAGAACTACCGTATGATTCAACAATACTGCTATTGGGTACTTATCCAATGTAAATAAATCATTACATAAAAGCAATACCTGTACTCCCATGTTTATTGCAGCACTATTCACAATAGCAAAGATATGGAAACAAATGGAAAAAACCTAAGTGTCTATCAATAGACAAATGGATAAAGAAAATGTGATATATGCACACATTGGAATGCTACTTGGCCATAAAAACAAGAATAAAATCATGCAATTTGCAGCAACATGGATGGAACTGGAGGTCATTAGGTTAAGTGAAATAAATCAGGCACAGCAAGACCAATATTGCATGTTCTTACTAGTATATGAAAGTTAAAGTATTTGATCTCATGGAGTTAGGGAGTAGAATGATAGCTACTAGAGGCTGGGAAGGGCGTGTGGGTTGGGGGAAGGGGGATGAAGAGAAAATGGTTAATGAGTGACAAACACACAGATAGAAGGAGTAAGTTCTAGTGTTTGGTAGCAGAGTAGGGTGATTATAGTTAATAATGTATTATATATTTCAAAATAGCTAAAAGAGTGGACTTGAAATGTTCTCAACGCGTAGAAAATGATAAATGATACTATCCTAAATACTCTGACTTGATTATTATACAGTCTATGCTTGTAACTAAATATCACATGAACCCCATAAATATGTCCAAATATTATGTAATAATTTAAGAAAAGATAATGATTATCCAAAACCAAAGTCCTTATGTCAGTGACTTTAGTTTTTGTATCCCATTGATTTATTGTCATAGTCCTATTATTTAAGGCATTATGACTAAGGGTATTCATTTATCTGCTACCCATTCCATTTAAAGAAAAGACAAATTCCACAATATCTTTTTGCATCAGATCTAACCAAATATCTTTATTCCCACTTAGTCCTCTACCATTACATTTCCAACAGAGGGCAGAATAGATTGGTATCTGAAATGAAAGAAAAAATTTATATTTCCATAAATGACCCATTAAAAGGTACATTTGTGCTAATAAGCAGCTGTGTGATCTCAGGTTTATGATAGAGAGATTACATGAGTCTAAAAAATAAGTTTAGATCTCCAAGACCAACTAATCATTTCCATTAATTACAATAATCCAGAAGAATCTTTAGACAGGCCAGGATCATATAATTCTACAGTTAGAAGTGATCCTATTGGACATTTGGTTCAGCCATTTCATTTGCAGCAGCAAATACAGGGGGTCACTTTGTGTCACATGTGAGACCAAATTCACATCTTCTTGATCAAAGATTACCATAATTTTCTCTACTATTCTGCTTGTTTTAACTATCTGTTGTACTCAATTTATGGCTATGCTAATACAATGTGGTGGAAAAGTTCATTTTTATCTGGTTATGTTGAGTGAACGAGGATACATCTGGGAAGCTCCCAGATATAACTTATTTTTAATGTATAATCTTAAAAGTCCAATTTTGTATCTACGACTTCTAGCTTGATATCTCTTCCATTTCTTCATTGCTATTTTCTAAGACTATAATTTGCATGCTATATGTTATGACTATTTTTCATATTGACTTTTATTTTGTAGTTTTACCATCTTTAATTCATTGTTATTATTGGTTTATCTTGAACAGTATTTACAATGACAATTTGTTAAACTCCTCCAGATTTGTTGGCATGATTTTTCTATCCTTTTCCAACTAAATATTATTGAAGAAGACATCTAATAACCTTTTCCCTGATTATATTTTTCTCAGTTGGTTATATAGCCCTCTATCATTACCTTTCAGTTTATAGCAATTCATTCACATCCAAACTAAAGGACTGCCAAGTAAAATTATACAAATAAAATTTCACATAAAAATAAACTTAGTAAATAATATGTGCCTGTTACTAATATATCTTTCTATTTTTAAAGTAATTCTAGATTGTATGAGATCAGAGCATGGTGGCATCAATTAAAATGTTTTAATTCATTGCCTACTTAATCACTTTACAATGTATGCATATATCAGGACATCACATTGTACTTCTTAAATATACCATTTTTATTTGTCCAGTATACTTCAATAAAGCTGGAGTAGCAGAATTTCAACCCATCCCTCCAAAACCCTTTATCCTGCTGTATATTTGTTAATGAATGTATCACCTTCTAAGATAGTATATTTGTTCTTATTTTTTTGTGACTGGCTTACTGATTTTCTTTCTTTTAATTTTTTGGCTTAAATGTAAGCTCCATGGAGGCAGCGCTCTTTACCTAAATTGTTGACTAATGTATTTTATGTGGCTAGGATAGGGATCTACTTTGTTAAATGATTTGATTATGTTTATTGACCACTATGTTTAAGGGACTGGGCTTAGCTGATAAATGAAAAAGAAGGTGGAAGCCTGAATATATATAGTTTTAAAATGCATTTGATAAGCTTAGCCTCTATAGTAGCACTTCAGGAAAACATCAGCAACAGAATCAGGTGTGGATCCCTTTGTTTTCAAATGTATTGAAGAGGATTTGTAATATAATCTGCATCAAGTAAAGAATCAACATTTCTTGATAATGAGAATAAAATTAACCGAGAAACAGGATTATCTTACAGAGAAAACAAACCCACAGTGTACAATATTAGATTTTTTAATGCCCCTGTGGGGAAGAAGTGGTCTTCTCCAGTTGGATCACCTGGATGTCCCTTCCCTCTCCCCAGATAAGATCACTCCTCTCCCCAGATAGGCGCCAAAATCTGTCAGAGCTGGAAGCATTTTTAATCCATGGCTTATTCTGGAGCATGAATTCATTCATTCATCTATTCATTCATTTGACCAATTTTTATTAATTCTTATCTATGTGTTGGGAAATATTCTAGGCTTTGGAGATACAGTAGTGAAGAAAACATACTAAAATTACTACTCTATAATATACAAGACACAAGAGCAAATATGTGACTTAATAATTTGCAAAACTGGGGAAAATTATTTTGGAAAGAGGGAGATGGGACTAGAGAAGACCGAAAAGCCCTGAAAAAAAAAAGAAAAGAAAATTTAGATAAAAAGAGAAGAGATAAAATTGGGAAAGAGAAATTATCCCATGGTAAATCCCTGGAAGCTTAGGTGTCATTCATATGGGACTCCCTTTAAAGTTTTAGGCAGGAATATTAATATGTGAGTTATCAAGTCAATAACTCATCTCCATTTTGCATAGTTCAAATTTATCCCTGGAAATCAAAACAGCTTTCAGGGATTGCAA
Organism: Homo sapiens; assembly: GCF_000001405.40. NCBI lineage: Eukaryota > Metazoa > Chordata > Mammalia > Primates > Hominidae > Homo > Homo sapiens. The sequence continues at coordinate 138,074,224 of NC_000004.12, forward strand.
AAGCCAATCCATTAAGTAGAAAATGAAACACAACATGGTATGGAAAGTTTGTGGTAAACCCTTTTGTTCACCGTGATTATACCTTTAAAAGCATTAAAATTCAAGGAAGTCTAGGAACAGTATTAGCCGCATTTAAAGCATGCTATGTTAATGCAAATGTGCATACTGCAACCTCTGGTTTAGTATTCTCAGATGTGAGCAAGCTTATGTTTCTGTATAATTAGCTGCCTACCTGATACTTGAAACAGCAAAGTATAATAGAGCCTCCCTCATCCCATACCAATAGGCAATATCAGACACACTTTCATCTGGGATAGGAAAAAACAGCATAGGGAACTACTTTGTTATAAAAACAAAGCTAAACAAATAGTATAGTTATCACATACTCATCCCATAACTACCACTACCTTGTCACTTTGTTTCATAAAATACCCAGAAATACCATCCTGCAGAACAAAAGAAAAGACTCTATGAAATTAGTTTAACTTAAATCTATCAAATTAGAACATCTTAACAGGCAAGTTAGTCAAGCTCCTAACCAAAGCAGGAAACTGTCTGTCATTATCCTTTCCAGGTAGTTATGTGACAATTCACAACTTTGGGCCTCACAAGTCAGACAAATCTAGCTTGAAAACTTTATATTGCTAACATCTTTCTCAGGTTGAGCTCCAATTTCTCAACCTGAAGCTTCCACACTTTGCTCCAAAATTCTCTCAGTTCCTTTGAAACCACATCAAATAAATCTAACCTATCTCCTATAAGAAAGAGCTTCAAATAGGTCACATGTTATACTCTTTCTCCTAATCCCTTCCACATCTACAAGAATCATCTTCCCTAACTCAAATATTCTTCATTCTGTGGATGCTTACTCATCTGATTTTAACCTGTAAGTGTCCAGTGTTCAACAAACAGATTTGGATTTGTTAATTTCAGTTTCTGATCCCATATTATAGATTTGAGTTTCATTTTTTACATCTAAGTGCTAGATTTATTTATTCCTATTGATTTTATCACATTTAGAATGAGAAATACTCCCACATTTTTTAGTATTTCATTTTAAATACTGCTTTTATCATCAAGTAATTTAGCTACAGCAGCAGTTTTTGCAGCACCGATAGGTTTTCATCTGTCTTTTTTGTATTTTTAAGCTGTTGATAACATGCTGAATAAGAAAAGGCAATAACCGAGGAAATAGACTAATCATACCACTAGAAATCTTTCATTCTGATTAGCAAAGACACATTACTCTTTCTAAGTAAGCTGTTAAAACTTGGAAAGACAAAATCTTGTATTTATGTATTAGTCAATTCAACAAATATTTACTAAACGCTTTCTATGTTCTAGGTACTCTTCTAAAAATAAGGATGCTAAGATGAATAAGATACAAATAATAAGACAAGTTTTGTTTATGTTTTGTTTTTTGTTGTTTGTTTGTTTTGAGATGGAGTCTTGCTCTGTCTCCCAGGCTGGAGTGCAGTGGTGCGATCTCGGCTCACTGCACCCTCCGCCCCGCAGGTGCCAGCAATTCTCCTGTCTCAGTCTCCCGAGTAGCTGGGACTACTGGCACCCACCACCATGCCTGGCTAATTTTTGTATTTTATCAGAGAGAAGGTTTCACCATATTGGTCAGGCTAGTCTTGAACTCCTCACCTTGGCCTCCCAAAGTGCTGGGATTACAGGTGTGAGCCATTGCACCCGGCCAAGCTTTGCAAAATGAAGGAGTTCATTCATGCTGCCATTGGTTAAGCAGAAAATTAAATAAATAACTGCCCCTGTCACGGTCAGTGCTATCATCTAGAAATATATAAGACTGCATTTCATTTAGAATCTTATTAGGCCTCACATAATAAAAATTTGACTATAATGGTTAAGGTTAGTTTCTGTTCTGTTTTGTTTTACATATAGTAAGTATAGTGGAAGTCAGTTGCTAGATTCATTCATCATATTAATGATAACAGAGACCAGATATTTATGATTAACTTGTAATTTCCATTATGCTCACAAGGCTACTCGAGCAGCCCTAGCCATTATGTCTGTGTTCAATGGTGGGAGAATGGATGAGAAAATGGAAGATTTCTGCTTCAAGACAACCAACATTTTCCCCATATCAAAATTTGGTTTGTGTCTCATTGGTGAGAACCCTGTCTTGTGGCCATGACTGCATAGAGGTATTAAGAAAGAAAGGGGTTGAAGTAGGGGATGGCTGAGTTTGATAACAGTGCCTGCCAAATTATAGGAATATGAGGTGTGGGACCCAACTCCACCTGAACGAGAGGTAGGGGTTAGAGAATACCTCATAGAGTTGCTGAACTGAAACATGAAAAAATAAATGGAAAATTTGCAGGTGCGTTTTAGACAAGGATGAGATCAGTACTATTATTATAGCAGAAAAAGTAACAATATTTACCAATGCAGAAATATCTGAGAGGCAATGCTGTGTTCATATAAGCAAATATGACAGAGTGCAGGGTGGAAGCCTATGTTTTCCTCCTTTCTAATTTTGCATATGACATGTTTTTTTCAGATTTAATGTGAGTCATGGAGACTGAATTGCCCTTGGTCCCAGCCCTAGCACATCCTGTGTTATGGCTACATTCTCTGTCAGATCTTTTTCCAACTTCTGTCCAATGTTCATAATTTCCCATTCCTGGTATGCTCTCTTTTAATTACTGTATTAAGGCAGAATCTTTCTCAACCCCAATTGTATTATTGCCTAGAGCCCAAAATGATCCATTGAAATGGTCAGTTCTATGAGTAAGTAAAATAACTTGTTCATTTAAGATGGTTTGAATTGGTCTCTTGTCACTTGCATTCTGTTGCTTGAAAAAGATTCTTGGCTGGGCGTGGTGGCTCATGCTCATAGTCCCAGCACTTTGGGAGTCCAATCTGGGTAGATCACCTGAGGTCAGAAGTTCAAGACCAGCCTGTCCAACATGGTGAAACCCTCTCTCTGCTAAAAATACAAAAAAAAATTAGCCTGGCATGGTGGTGGATGCCTGTAATCCCTGAGGGTGAGGCAGGAGAACTGCTTGAACCCAGGAGGCAGAAATTGCAGTGAGCCAAGATCACACCATTGCACTCCAGCCTGGGCAACAAGAGTGAAACTCTGTCTCAAAAAAAACAAAACAAAACAAAAAATAAATAAAAATAGCTTCTTGATGAAGACAGATTTACTAACAAACCTATGAAAGTAATCTTCAATGAGACATACTTTGCCAAATATTGATTATGGTAGTCAGAATTCTAAGATGATCCCCATGATCTCCATCATTTAGTGCTACACTCTGCATAATCTCCTCCCCTTGAGTGTGGGAAGAACCTGTGACTTGCTTCTAGCTACTTGAATATAGCAAATATAATAATAGAATAATATCTATCCCTTAGTTAGGTTTTATTATAAAGTTAGTGAGATGTCACTTTCATGATCACATTATGTCATATAAAATTATTTTTTAGCAGATTGGTATGAAAGACTGATCTGCTGCCCTTGAGGAAGCAAACAGCAATATTGGAGTTACCAAGGGAGAGGACCATGTAGCAGATAATTACAGACAGCTTCCAGGAGTTGACAGCAGCCTCCAACTGACAGTTGACAGAAAGCCAGGGCCCTTAATCATACAGCTACATGAAAATAAATTCTACCAATAACCTAAATGAGCACAGTAACGGATTTTTTCCTCAGACAAGCCTCCAGATGAAAACACAGCCCGGTGATCCCTTGAGTACAATCTTGTGAATACAGATTATGAAGCCAAAGAATTATTCACATATATAAAAGTTAAACCATATATTTGGATTGTAGCTTCCTGGAAGATAATGTAAAAAGAAAAAAATGTTTATTTACCTCATTCTTATTGTATAAACACACTATTTCTTATTCACATAAATAACAACAGCAAAATGTGATACGAAGTACCTCAGTATTCAATGCTGTGCAAGTTCCTGACCCTTATGTTCAGAACTCTTGTAAAGTCTGAGCTAAAGTGCACAGTCTAAATGCTCCAAAAAGAGACACCTAATTCCATGAATCTGAAGTCTTGAGAATAGCACATTAATGCATGCCTGAGAAAGAATGAGGAGGAGAGGGACAAAGAAAGAGAAGCAGAGCAGAAGAAATTACCATGTCCCAAGAAAACCCTTCACTCACTTGACCCATCCAGCTGCACGGATCCAAGAAGTGAAAGAGAGATAAGAAGCCTGCATGGATGTGTACAGTTTTATTGAACAGTAACTCCACCCACAAGTCAGTGTGGCCTTGTTAGCTGCTCTGCACACTGACTAATCAAAACTGGTACCTCTTGCTTCCTTGGAAGGGCTAAGAATGGTATTGGCAGAGGGAAGCATGGCCTGAAGGCAGCCTAACATTTTCTTCTCTCCCTTGTGCCTGCTCATTTCTTATTCTATTTTAATCTATATCCCGTGATGGGTAATTTAAGGTTCAACCAGGGAACTGGTGTCTCTCTTAGGAGAAAATCTCTTTTTGTAGTCCCCTAAGCCCAGTGAAGTAGAAAATTAAGTTTTTGCCCACTAAGTCTCTGAAATAGGTCAGAACAGACATCCACCATTAAAACACATTTAATACTAGATTACGTTCTCTCCCTATTCTACTTTGACTCTCCATTTATGCCCAGCTACATGATTCACAAGAGAGGGGTATAGAGTGAGCACCACATGTTAGTCAGACTCTTTCTGTTATAAGTAACAGAACACCATCCCAAACTAGGTTTATGCAAAGAAAGGAATTTATTGTTTCACATAAATTAAAAAATCCAGATGTGGCAGCAGCTTCAGACATCTGCTTCAAAGTATGATATCAGGAGTTGGTTGTGTTCCATCTCTTCGTTCTGCTACCCTTTGTGTTGGCTTAATTCTCAGGCAGGCTTTCCCATGCCATTAAAAAGAGAATCAACGTTGTTGTGATTTGTACCTCCTTCTACCTTACTAATCCCATCAGAGGGAAGACCTGGAGGCTTATATCACATGCCTATCCCAGAAACAATAATCCCTGTGACCCTACAGGCTGGGTATCCTCTCAGCCCTGGAGTTACGAGGTAGAGTCAACTCCTCCCCATCACATGAGAATTGGAGAAAGATGGCTCAATAAAGCAAAACAGGAGTACTTTTATTAGTGAATGGATATCCAGCAGGCCAAAAATCACAGATGCCTCAGGCACACAAGAGGCCATCATATTCCAAATACTAGGATGGAACATTTTTCTTAAATTTGAACATAATGAACATTCTTCCATTATCATTTTACCACACAGAAATTAAAATACCAAATAAAAATACTGTCTCCTTGTAAAGTAGTAAAAATATTAAAGTCCAATATTCTCTGTCTCTCTCTCTCTCTATATATATATATATACATACACATACACATATACACACACACATATATTTTAAGCTTAGTTCAGCTCCACAGATTTCATTCAGAACTCAGGGCAAATCAGTGCCTTTAATCTGTCATTATGAGGCCTATAAATATACACAATCCACTGAAATAAATGTTAACTCTTTAAACACTTAGAAAGTTGAATGAATCCAGTGCAAGTTTCTTGTATGTCAAGAGACATATTAGTATACAGTAGTCCCTGATCCTTAATAATGTTTTGAAAACACAAATAATTCCTACCTAGCTAGGCAAATTGCTTCATTAAATAAAGTTTAAATTCTATTACTAAGGAGAAAAGAAGATTGCATATTGTTAGACAGTCACAATCTCTGCCACAGACCATCATATTTATTTTCTTACATGGTCAGTAGAAAAAAAGAAAAACAGACCTAAGGTCTGAATATTTTTCTGACTAGCAAGAAAATTTACACTTTTTATATTGGTGGAGTAAAAAAGACAAAACTATGAGGTCATAGCCCATGAGTTAATTATCACAAGGTTACTGAGAAAATTCAATTACCAGTGACAAATATACTCTATAAATTTGTGACCAAATACAATTTTCTAACACATCTGTTTTATAAGTCTTGCAATCATTGCTTCTAGTTAAAAGGTTGTATTTTAGGAGGGAAAACCAGAATCACTGTGGCTTACAGCTGAACATGGGAGGAGAGTGTCTGCTCTTCTTGGTAAAAGCAATAAGAACACAAATCTATAAGGAAAAATTTCAGAATCCATAGGAATTAAATCTGAAAGAAGGCCTTTGCTTTTTCTGGGAAATTCTCTAACAGATTTGTGGTCATTGACTAGAGAATATTTACGAACCTACTTTTACTCTCCTTAAAATTTTTATCATCAACCATTATAGCATATATTTTGGTTTTAACCAGGCAGGAATTAAAGTTTCCTTAAATGTATGATTTTTATTTGCACTGGAGGTTAGCTGTGCTGCCGTCTGTTCTTTCATAAACCTTGAGAAAGCTTTATCTATGTGCTGTTCCCCTTGCATGTCCCAAACTGGGCTGGTAGGGGTCCAGTGAAAGGCAGCTACCCCAGCCGGATGCTCCACCCTGATCTTGCCTTTCCTCAGCATTAAATTCCCCATAGCTTGGATAGCTTTCACTACCCTGGTGTCAACATAAACATTTTCCTTCCCACCTTTTATGTTGTTGCTCCAGTGGGAGTTGACTGTACCCGTCCCCCAGCCGAGGCTAAGAAACAGGATAAAATGTAAAAGGCTAATGAGATAAAGATGCATAGAATCTTTAGCAGTTAATCTGGTGCTGCCTATCAAGGTTGAGTACTGATAATAAGCCAAAAGTCCAAATTTTCCCACAATAGAGATCTGTCGATATTTAGCCTGACCTTTGTGGTCTGCAGCGATGATTGAAAATAAAACTTGCTTTGTGATGAAATTGCTCTGATCTAGCTAGAGCTTGTCCTTGTCCATATGGAACTCTAGCTCTAGGAGTTGGCCTAGTAGTCACAGTCTACAAGGGTGCTGGCTCTGACCCTCAACGAGGGACTGTCCATCTTGGGCCTCATTATTCAGTTTGAAGTTATTGCCTGTCCTGTCCAACACAAGCTTCAGATGATTCTCTTGAGTACCACAGTTCAGGTATGGAAGAAGAAAAAGAAAACTAGCCACATAACCAAGTCTGTTAAATCCACGAGGGCAGCAACCATCTCCCTTCTCAGAACGTTGTCCCAAATGATTGTCTTTCTTCTTAGGCCCTCACAACACCCTCACATGGAGTACTCATGTCTTAGGGATGATTTGCATGTCTCTGTATTGCTTCCTTAAACTGAACTGTGAGATGCTATCATTACCTGGTAACATAAAACAGAAAATGGAAGACAGAATCATCCCTTCGGGCTGAATAATTCCAACAATTAAATATACTTCTATAATAATGTTTCTAAATTATTTACATATAATGTTGATATTAATATATAATTGATATAAGTATATATAAGTACTGCTATATTCTGAATGTTTGTGTCCCTTCAAAATTCACATATTGAAACCCAATGTGATAGTATTAAGATGTGGGACCTCCAGGAAGTGATTAGGTCACAAGTGCAGATCTCTCATTAATGGGATTAGTGCTTTTACAAAAGAAACCCCAGAGAGCTTGTTTTCCTCTTCCACGTATGAGGCAGAAGAGTGCCCTTACCAGAACCCAACCACACTGGACCTTTGATCTTAGACTTCCCAGCCTCCAGAACTATAAGGGATAAATATCTATTGCTCATAAATCACTCAATGTATGATATCTTTGTCATAATGCTGTAGGAAAATCTGGGCCCCTATCACATGACCAGGAAAGATTAGGCTCACAGACAATTTGAAGGGTGAGGAGGGGGATTTACTGGGCAAAAAGGAAAAAGGAAAAACAACACAGCAAAGTGAGACAGGGGTTTCTGTTACAGGCCTTCATCTCACAGATTGAATCCCCAGTAACCACCCAGGAACAGGAGGGGCCAGGATCCTTCCCTGCTGCAAATGGCATGAACTTCCCGAGGCCCCACCCTCCTCCCCATGCTCAGACCAGCTGGAGATTCTCTGAGGAGCTCCTTTTACTTGGCTGTCTCAATAAGAGCCCAAATGGACTAAGATGAGCACTTAACATAATTATACATTTACATTTTTTTATTACATGACTATATACCTGTCTCCCCTACTAGACTCTATGTTCTTTGAAAGCAAGTAAAATGCCTAGTTTGCTCACATCTAAGTAACCAGGGCCTAGTTTTCCTGAAGGAAATGTAGTATTTGGGCTTGATATTAATATTTTTATAGCGTCTCTAAATACATGGGAACAATTTATAATTTTCTCAATTAAATGATTCTGTCAGAAGCCAAGGCACTATGATTTACATAATCAGATATTTAATAATCTGATTCAGTCCAAGCCAAAAACAAATGAGCAAATCAAATCTAAAGCAAAACCTGGAATACCTAGAAGACATCTAAAAGATATGATAATGTCTTCCATGTAAACTTTTGACAGAAGTAGGATTCCAAGTTTATATTCTCTGGCAAGGCACTGGATTATCTATGGGATAAGAAATGGCAGATTAAATTACTAAATGATGATGTGGCCATCCTTTTGTAAAAACCCACAAGCTTAACCAAAATTCCATCCTGAATAGAGAAATTTTTCACTTCAACAAAAGATTTCCTTCAGTGAGAAATGAATCTTTCTTAAATAAATTTTAACTTTGCTAAATATAAGAACAATCTGTTAATCAATTCTCCGAAGTTCTACCAGAGACAATAACCTCCATCAAAGCCATTCAAAATGTGGCCCGTGGACTGGTGGTGGTCTGCAAACTGCTACCAATCCACAGCAAGATAGGTACAGAAATTGAGAATAAGCACCAAGAAATTTATATGACAATTTGATATTGTCATGCCATCCAAGCGCATGAAAAATGCATTTTACAAAAATGTTGGTCTGTGACTGTTAAGCAAATAATAATAAGAAGAAGACACAGTCCTTCACCACAGATAGTTTGAGAAGCTTTTTTCTAGTTTGTTTAGCTTGAAAATTTTCAAGAAAGGTTTACTATTGCTTACAATAACCATGGAAAATTCTCATTCATGAAATCATATAAAACAAGAGGCTTACTGGAGTATCTGCTAGGATTAATTATCTACATAATGTGTCCCAAAGTAACCAAATGAATTGACCTGTTTTAGAGAACAGTATCAAATACAATAATGTTAATTCTTGATTGACTCACCTTAAGGCATTACTGCTGACAGTAGCTGAACAGCATTAGGAATTGTCCATTCAAGTCAAGTGAAACTACAAATTAGCATAATATGATACATAAAATTTATTTGCAGTTGGAAAAACAATTATTTTTTCTTCTCACACAAAAGCTGCCTTCTCAAAAGGATGAGGGATATTTTGAGAAACAGAGGAAATAATTTGGAGAAAAAGGTCTAAGCACAATTTTATGAATAAAATTTGGGAACTTAATAAAGCCTCCATTTTAGTTAAATCTATAAGTCACTCTCATTTAGTTAAATCTCTGTAAGTCACTCTCACTAGTGACTTACAGAGTGAAAAGAAAAGGATAGTAGTAGTTGGGAGTGAAACTAACACTGAATCTTGCCTCAAGGTTGACCAATGCAAAAAAACACACAATAACAGAAAAAAGAAATTGTGGAAATGTAGCCAGTTACACCATATTTTATACAAGGGGTGGTCTGTCAGTCTTCTCTCAAAAATGTGAGGAAGACCAAATGTGGTGGCTCACGCCTGTAATCCCAGCACTTTGGGAGGCTGAGGCTGAGGTCAAGAGATCGAGACCATCCTGGCCAGCATGGTGAAACCCCGTCTCTACTAAAAATACAAAAATTAGCTGGGCGTAGTGACACATGCCTGTAGCCTCGGCTACTCAGGAGGCTGAAGCAGGAGAATCTCTTGAACCCGGGGGGCGGAGGTTGCAGTGACCGGAGATCGCGCCACTGCACTCCAGCCTGGCGACAGAGTGAGACTCCGTCTCAAAAAACACACAAAAAAAAAACAACAAAAAAATGAGGTTAGAAGATCGATGTCTTAAATATAATTTAAAACAAAGTGAAGTCAAAAATCTCAAAAACGTTATTCAATTAGTCCTGAGAGAATTTCCACCGACCTAACTTTTTTAGTGGTTCTTGTTAATGTGTAGCCAGGAGTTCATATAGCGTTCTTGGGAAATAACCAACAAAACATTCTGACCCACAGAGTCCACTGTAAGCCAAAGAGGGTCATCAAGTGTTCTTGTCTTAAGTTGATAAATAGAGTAATAGAGTGCGAGTCGATATTGGAGCAGGTTTGGTAGCCTAAAACTAATACAATTAACATGCAGCATAACTGGAGATGCCCATACTTATAATTTGTCAAAGAGAAAACGCACAACATTTAGATGAAATGCTTGAAAATTTGAGTTCAGATTCAGAGATACTTGTATAAACCTGGGATAAAATATACTCTTTCTGAGGAGAGAAAAGAGGCTGATGAGGGGTTTATATATCTTTATAAATCTCCAGTAAACAGATAACTAAAGGTCCAAGTCCTTCAGTTATTTAATTAATTACAAATTTTTAAATCAACTGCTCTACATGAAGCAGTTGAAATGTTCCAACCAATGATAGGCTTAATATCTACAAAATTTTGATAATTTTTCTGTCATTATTGAGATGAAAAATTAACTGTCAGGTTAAAAAATAGCCTCACTGTGGTTTGAAAGTTCAAACCCAATACGTATTGCCTAAGCTTATCGTAGTTTAATTATGTAGAAGCAATAAGCAATGCACAAAAGGTTAAACAGGGTGATATCCTCAGTAGCCCCTTTCATGATTCTATCTCTCTACCGTCACTGATTTTGTCCCTTTTTATTTTCTCCTTTCCACACAGCTCTTGTCAACCCAGCAACTTTAAGTACAAAACCCATATCATTCCAAACATGAAATAGATCACATTGTACCAATTATCTGTTGTTAAGAGAAAAATCCTCATTTCCACCTTCAATACAGCCAAAGCAGTTTTGAAATATTCTTAAAAAAAAGAAAGAAACCAAAAACAACTTGAACATAATAGAATAAAAATACTCCTTACACTTTCTTACCCTTTTCAAAATTGTCATCTCATTAGTCTACTTAAGAGATATAAGTAGGCCCAAGAACACTTTCATCCACGTTAGATAAATCGAGATATTTAGTGTAAATCTGAAATGGTAAATAATGATCTAACTATAATATCATCAGTAACACTGTCTCAGGGGTTAAAATATAAATGAATCTTTTTCTAAGGAAAAGTGATTTATTTCCCCAAGTTTCCCCCATCGGCTGCCATTTAATCATACAAAATTTTACTTATAAATACATTGGGAAATAAGTTTTCCATTAAATCAACACAGATCTTTATCAAGACATGTACCATGTTGAAACAGTTTTCCCCAGGAAAACTTTTTTCTCGTACAGGCTTCCACAAAATCTCTACAATTATCTCCACCATATATTTAATAAATCAAGTTTAAAAGTTATCGCAATTTAAATAACTGGACAGACATCATATGTCTTTGGGGAAGAAACAGATGCATAAAATAAATCAGAAAAATCATAAAAATAATTATAGAAGTAAATCATAAAAGAAATATAGAAAACCAAATTAGAAAGAAAAAGCAACTTTTTAGGGGAATATGGGTCAGACAGATTAATAGCTTTATCTTTGCTATTTTTTCCCATTTATAGTTGAAGAGACTATGGACATAAAACTTGGAACTTGGAGAAAGCTGTTTTTTTGCCTCTATAGTATTAAAATTGAAGTGAAACACACCCTATGTGTGAAGATTGTACATTCGTTTTCTTGCCAAGGCACAATTTCGGAGACAAATCTTTGAATTTGGAAGGCAATCTCCATAGAATCTGCCAGATATCAAAAAGCACATCATTTTCTTTACAAAGTTTCAAGTTAATCTGTTGGTGCCAGTTGGACGATGTGATTCGCTCAAAACAAGGACTAAGGAATCTAGTAGGAATTCTGAGAAAAGAGGATTTCCTGTCTTTCTATAGAAAGGGCTGTGTACACAGGTCCTGAGCTAGCTGGAATGGAAGCCAAACAAGTGTATCTCCAGCTATTATTGGGAATAGTAGAACAGAACGTTGACTGGGAACAGCCAGAGGGTTCAATTACCTATCATTCACTCTCATACTAATCAATTGGTGTTGTTCGGTTTGGTCTCAAGAAAAAGAAATTGTAAACTCCTAGAAGAATTTTAATTTATGCTCATTTTATTTTTTTAAATTGAATACTCTGCTTAGCATGGTACTGTTTATAGAATTCTCCCTGTTGAACTGTAGTTAAACTGAATTGTACACATGCTAATCCCTGAGAGAAAGATGAGGTATTTTTAATTAAAAACATCAATCATGTTAAAGACTATTAAATCTAGTAGATCACTTTACCTAATAGGCGTTTTAAATCAAACTTCTATTTTTGGAACTTTAAAAAATATTTTTCTACAGTCCCACTTCTACAAAGACATTCTTCAGTTTACACTGGAGACCAGTTTATGCAGTTTGTATTGGAGCCTAGTCAAATTCTTCCACACTCTTCCTACATTTCTTTGTATAATGACCCCCCTTTCCCCAAACTCTATTTCTGTTGTTAATTTCCTGAGGATTGTATAGAACGCTGCTTAAATGAGAAACATCAGTACTGAGGATGTAGGCAATGCCTTAATTGATCAGATAAACATGGTCCATTTAGTTTTGCTTTAACTCAAACTTCAAAGTACCAAGCTGTAGGTTTGCTACATTTTGGCAGAAGCAAAAAGCCTGAAACTCTTCAGGAGGTAAGGAAGCTATGGAAATTAGGCATCTGCCCAAAATCTAGGATAAAGAATAAACACTTAAAACTCATTTTAACATCTACTTTGAACTGAAAAGAAAAGGGCTCATGAGAACATTTGAATATAGGAAAAGGACAATTTTCAAGACTGTGAACTTGAACCCATTTGACAGCAGAGAATGTGATCTCAGGGCCATGTGATACTGGTCTGTCTTCATTAAAGTCCCATCAGCCCTACCAAGATGAAACAAACTTTCTAAATTTTCCTTTACTCTTCCAACTGCCATATGTGAGCTCTCGGTATGGACTTGCCTCGGGAGGATTTATATAGGCCTTTTGAACTTCTAACAGAGTCTCTCTTTTGAGTAACCATTTAAAAGATGATTAAATTTAATTAGACTGTATTTTTTCCTTTGACATGTGCCTTCAAAGTCCATTTTATTACATTCTTTTATCCTAGCAGCACACTAATGCTCTCGGGTGTAGGGCACCTTCAGATGCAGGAACACAGGAGGGAGATATTTATATACTCACTTAATCCCCTGGGAGTATTTTAGGAATGGCCGACATCTGACATCCATGCCTGCCCAGCAACACTGCCTGAGCTAATGTTGCTCAGGAATCAACTCAGACACATGACAATTTGGATGAGTAATCTGAGCCCTCCATACACCTGTCCTAGATAGGGGTTCAAGGTGCCCTTGGGTTGTATCATCTATTTATACCCTAATTATTTCTCTTTTGATGTTTTTCTTATTCTCTGAATTTATTGATAATAACTACACTTCGATAGTGTGTCCGGAACTGGTGGGTTCTTGGTCTCACCGGCTTCAAGAATGAAGCTGCGGACCCTCACAGTGAGTGTTAAAAGTTCCTAAGGGCGGTGTGTCCTGAGTTTGTTCCTTCTGATGTTCGGATGTGTTCGGAGTTTCTTCCTTCTGGTGGGTTCATGGGCTCGCTGGCTCAGGAGTGAAGCTGCAGACCTTTGCGGTGAGTGTCACAGCTCTTAAGGCACACTCTCGACTTGTTCGTTACTCCCCGGTGGGTTCGTGGTCTGGCTGGCTTCAGGAGTGAAGCTGCAGACCTTCACGGTGAGTATTACAGCTCATAAAGGCAGTGTAGACCCAAAGAGTGAGCAGTAGCAAGATTTATTGCAAAGAGCGAAAGAACAAAGTTTCCACAGTGTGGAAGGGGACCCTGTACAGTTGCCATTGCTGGCTGGGGCAGCCTGCTTTTATTCATCCTGCTGATTGGTCCATTTTGCAGAGAGCCAATTGGTCTGTTTTACAGAGAGCTGATTGGTCCGTTTTGACAGGGTGCTGATTGGTGCATTTATAATCCCTGAGCTAGACACAAAGGTTATCCACGTCCCCACTAGATTAGCTAGATACAGAGTGTCCACTGGTGTATTTACAAACCCTGAGCTAGACACAGAGTGCTGATTGGTGCATTTACAAACCTTGAGCTAGATACAGAGTGCCGAGTGGTGCATTCACAATCCCTTAGCTAGACATAAAAGTTCTCCAAGTCCCCACCAGATTCAGGAGCCCAGCTGGCTTCACCCAGTGGATCTCGCACCGGCCGCAGGTGGAGCTGCCTGCCAGTCCCGCGCCGTTTGCCCCCACTCCTCAGTCCTTGGGTGGTCGTTAGGACCGGGCGCCGGGAGCAGGGGGCGGCGCTCGTTGGGGAGGCTCAGGCCGCGCAGGAACCCACGGCGGGGGAGCGGGGAGAGGAGAGCAGGGAGGAGACTCAGGCATGGTGGGCTGCAGGTCCCGAGCCCTGCCCTGCAGGGAGGCAGCTAAGGCCCTGCGAGAAATAGAGCACAGCAGCTGCTGGCCCAGTTGCTAAGCCCCTCACTGCCCGGTGCTTGCGGGCTGGCCGGCCGGCTGCTCCGAGTGCGAGGCCCGCCGAGCCCACGCCCACCTAGAACTCGTGCTGGCCTGCAAGCGCCGGGCGCAGCCCCGCAAGCACCGCGCGCAGCCCGGCAAGCAACGCGCGCAGCCCCGGTTCCCGCCCGCGCGGAGCCCACGCCCACCCGGAACTCATTCTGTCTGGCAAGCGCCGCGCGCATCCTCGGTTCCCGCCGCGCCGTTGCCGCCGCTCCTCTCCCTCCTCACCTCCCCGCAAGCTGAGGGAGCCGGCTCTGGCCTTGGCCAGCCCAGAAAGGGGCTCCCACAGTGCAGCGGTGAGCTGAAGGGTTCCTCAAGCGCGGCCAGAGTGGGCGCCAAGGCCGAGGAGGCGCCCAGAGCCAGCGAGGGCTGCCAGCAAGCTGTCACCTCTCAATAGGAACTGGTACCAACCTACTTACGAAGAAGTATTTGTTTTAACCTGAACCTGGGGTAAGATTTACTCAAAGATTATTTCAGAGTCTAACCCACTCTTAAAACCATGTTTATACATTTACTAGAAATATAAGTCAGTGTCAATGGCATTACAGGGATCGATGGAAAGCAAGTACCTCAATACCTGTTCGACAATTAGGTCATGCAGAAAATCACTAGATGTACGATTCAGTAATTTTTACTTTTATTGGTAGAATTTGGAGAGAAGGAGAAGAAATATGACAAAGAGTAGCAGACATTTAAAGAAAAGGTAAAAGTCAACATTTGCAACCGGGTACTAAAGACTCATTCCTGTTAAAGGAGAGCAGATGTAACTGCTCAACTGCTTCACAATGCCTTTGGTGATAGCTCTTGCTGGGACATGTGGATGAATGCAGTTTTCTCTCTTCACAATTGCGTTGTTGCTTTAGCCAGAACGCTGTGGCATTTTACCAGCCTTTCCCTTCTTGGTCACATTTTTTACAAATATAAAGAAGAAAGAAAATGAACACATTGCAAGTAATTTCTTCTTCATTTTGGTGTGCTATTGAACAACACCGGTGTGCCCCTGTGGTCCTGGCTGCCTGCTTGCTGCTAACTTCCCCGGGCCTCTAAGGCTTGGGCATAGGGAGGCAGAAGATTGTTTGCGGTTTTTCGCTTTTTGCTTTTTCATTGGCGTGACAGTGCCCAGCAGTCTAGTCTATTCTTTCCTTTTTCATTTTTTCACTGGTGTGAAGGAGCACAGTCACTTAGCGAAAGAACGACCTGCGGCTAAAGGGAGCGAAGAAGAAAGGAGCAGGCCAGCCTGGCCTTTCTCTGTGGCCTGAAACTGCCTAAAGTTAATTGCTCACATAAGAAGAATAACTCGTGGTGCTGTAATTGAATTTTTATGGAAATAAACAGGTGGCAGATTTACTATAGCTGGGGGATAGTAGGGGGCGAAATGCTGTAGCCACATTAACCTGTTTAATTTAATAGCTTCGGTACTCATAGGGGGGAAAGAAAAAAGCAGTGTTGCTCTTTGAGTCAGTTGGATGCCAAATGTAAATAACTACAGTTACCCTAGCATGCCCAAGTGGTTGAGCAAAAAAGGGCTTTGTGCCAGCTTCAACTTGGTTTTCATGTTTATTAATTAAGCTCCTGGAAGTTTCAAAAACAGAAGTTTTAACTCACAAAGAACTGGGAAAAAAAGGAAGAGGAAAGAATTTGGCAAAGGGAAAATAGACCGATAGACAGACAGACGGACGGACGGACGCACGCACGCACGCTCGCTCTTCTTCCATTAATGGCACAGCACCAGTCTGTGATAGATATTAGGAGCACTCTATACTGGACACAGGAAGGAAAAACTAAAGGCTAGCTTTGCACGATGCTGCCCCCCAGTGGTAAGATTTTGGAAATGCATTTTTATATTAAGTAGAAGAATCAGTAACTGGTGAGATATGCAGAGAACACCATTAGCTTCTTGACGTAGCTGACGTTTACTTTTAAGCCAAATACCAGGAATAAAAGTTTGTGTTGAAATTTTTGTCTATTTGACTGCAGGGAAAAACAACATGAACTGTTCGTCTATCTATATCGTCATTATTTTTTACCTCATGGATTGAAACAAATTTTAAAGGAAAAAAGAATGTTAAGAAAGAGCAGCACTTACTATCAGGGAGGCACCTCACGAGCATTGTAAACACTCAGGTGAGTAAAACACGTGCATCCTCTGCCAGCTTTCCCAGGCTTGAGTGGTGGGCAGATTCCTAGATGAAGAATTTAAGATAAAATAGAGTTTGCTAAGTATTAAAAAGCACACAAAGAAAAATTAGTGTGAGCGTGAAGTAGAGTATCCAAAATTCATTTTATCAATAAGAAACACTTTACACACTATTTGAATTACCTCATCAAATACCTAATACCCAAGATTATCAGAACCAGAGAAATCCAGCCAAACATTGCAATGGAGCTAAAGAGTAAAAACAAACCCAAGACTAAGCTGGCAAGAAGTCAGAGAGCCTGAAGGGTGCTCTTTCCTCTTACCAGTTTTGTTTTTGGTCCCATAAACCTTTAGTAAGTCCTTGCTGAGTGCATCACACTTTACTGACTGCACTTTAGGGTGTCAACTGAAGAGTGATTAACTTCATAAATCTGAAAGGAGAGCTTAAAGGTTCTTCTCATGAAGGGTTGGAGCCTGCCGGCGACCATTCTGACAGACTGAGAAGTGTAGCCTCTGGCTAGAAGCTGGAAACAGGCATGTAGAGGGTAGGATAGGAAAAATAAGATGGATTTATGGCTAACAGGGTGGCTAAGTATACATATTCAGCAGGTCATAGAAGGAGATATAAATATTCACAAAGGGGAGGCACAGCATGTGTAACATGCATCCCATGTTCACTCTGGGATGAAGACTTAACATTTAAATGTGTTACAATTAGACCTTATACATCAAAAGGTGAACCAGAGGACACAAAGAACCTCTATGTGGCAGCCTACAAAGACGGGCCCCAGGAGCACTTCATGGTCAATGGTCTCTTATCAGGAAGGAATGCTGGTCAGTTGCTGTGTCGAAACTGTGAAAAGGGCCAGGTGCAGTGGCTTACGCCTGTAATCCCAGCACTTTGGGAGGCCGAGGCAGGTGGATCACCTGAGGTCAGGAGTTTGAGACCAGCCTGACCAACATGGCAAAACCCCGTCTCTACTAAAAATAAAAAATTAGCCAGGTGTGGTAGCAGCCACCTGTAATACCAGCTACTCGGGAGGCTGAGGCAGAAGAATCACTTGAACCTGGGAGGTGGAGGTTGCAGTGAGCCGAGATCGTGTCATTGCTCTCCAGCCTGGTCAACAAGAGTGAAACTCCATCTCAAAAAATGAAAATAAAAAATAAATTAAAAAAAAAAACTGAAAGGGAGGGGCAGCATCAGGCAGTTGGTTCCTATAGGTGGCAGAAGGAATCTTTCAAAAGGGCTGGTTACTGTTAAACACCTAGGGAAGAGAACCTAGTGGCGGTTAGCAAGGGAGGAGGTATACGAGGCACATCTGACCTCCCATCGTGTCATGGCTGTGAACTCCATTTTTAAGGTTTCTCTGAGGTCCCGTTGGGCAAGAAGGGGTCTATTCAGTTGGTTTAGGGACTTAGGATTTTATTTTTGTTTCTCAAAGGGCACTTTTACCCCATGTGCTGATGTCTGTCCGTGCACAGCCTCGGGCTCTTCTCTCCTCCGTCTGCATTTTTCCACATAATGGACCTCATTTCCCATCTATGGACCAATGACTTCCATATTTATTTCATCACCAAACCAGTTCCTATTATTTATCCTCATGTCTAATTTCTCACTCAACATCTTCATATGAATGTGTGTCAGGCCCCTCAAATATTATAGGTCTAAGATCATTGGCCCCAATCTTATTCTCATTCAGTATATACACGATGAATATATATACATATTTATGTATATCCTGCTATGCAAACCAGAAATATAAGAACACTGTTTTACATTTTCTACTGTCTCACACCCAGTGTTCAATCCATCACCAACAGTCAATCATGAGTCCTATTAATATTAATTCCTAAATGTCTCATAACTCTATCTACCTATTTCTATATCCATACAACAAACTCTCACTGCAACAATTCAATAACATACCTTGCCGCTCTCTGTTCATACCCATACTGCACCCAGAGTATTCCTTTACGTGTCTAATCATGATATTATGTCATCCCTGTTTAAAGCCACACACTTGATTTCTCATCGCTATTCAGATCAGAGAAAATCCTGCAAGTTCAGGTCCCTGTCTACTTTTCAGGCTCCTCTTGGTCACTCTGAACCTCACATTCCTCACTCCAGGTGTACTGTCTTCCATTCGCTTCTCAAGCACACTTTTCTCTCCTGCTATGGAATCACTGCACGGACTCCTTTGTCTGTGCTCTTTGACACCTACCTCTGCCTTAGAGCTCATCTGAAATATCACTTGCTGAAGTAAGACTTTTCCTACCTTTCCCATTTTCTCCTCCAAAACTCCTTGCATACACAGACACACAGATACACACACACCCCAGGACAACAGAGGGTTCCCCTGTAACACAAGCTTATAGAATTATCTTGAGCAGTGACTGTCCAGTTTGTACCATTAAATTATCAGTGCTACAAAAGCAAAGACCATGTCAAGATTTGCTCATCATTGTACCCCTGACACCTAGCACAAAGCATGAATCTTGGTTGCTACTGAATAAATATTTGTTAAATGACCATCCAGGGGTACAATTTATCGCTCAGTATCGCTACATCTTCTAAGCACGGGACAAAATAGAGACACAAAAAGAATCATCAACCCAACATCTTTCAGGCTTTTAATGATATTTTTAATTTCCGTAATTCATCTATGAATGCAATACTTCTTTGGATTTTAGTGCTTTAGTAGGTAAGGGCAATACCAGAAGCTTGGCATTTTCTATCACAATGGCCCTACTCCATGGTGCAGAGACCCATTTGGGGATTCTGCCAATTGCTTAAGAGACCTATTCCAGTCATATCCTCAGAAAAATTACCACAAGACTGGACTACCTAGAGGCCAACTGAGATCAAAACTCAATTTATAACCTGAAGTACAATTTGTCATTCTGATAAGTAGAGACAGTGTTATTCTCAGTCTCCAGGAATCAGGATAGCTCTGAGTTGGTGTTTAACAATATCCCAAAGCTCTGGTTATTTCTGTTTTCCAGGGCATGTTTACTGTATGTATTTTTACTATATGGAATTTTATAGCTCCTTTGCATTCTATTCACATTCCGTTGCATTTTATTCACATATAAATAATACCTGGCATGAAATGTCTGTGTAGCCAGATTCTAGGAAGTATTTTATCAGCATGACCTAAAATGCAAGCAGTCTATTTTTGTCACAAAGTTAAAACAGTAACATTTGGTACCTGAAAATGTTTATGTGAATGTTGACCCCTAAAAGCACATTACCCTTAGAATGTAATATCACTATTCATGCTGTTTGCTAGATCATTGGTGTAAAACAGCAGTAGCTCTTTGGAATTTTTTTCTCCAAAAGGACAGCATTTTCTAGCCATTCTGAATAAACCCCCGAACAAAGAATAGGCAAACCAGATTAAAAGCTATTTATCTGCAATATCTGCAATAGCCAAAGATCCTTTGCTGAAGGCTGGGAAGATTTATTGCACAAACAAGTGATATTATTGCTGAGTCCATCTTCAAAGAATTCTTGATTATGGCGTTAACTCAGGTCTGAGAATTGGGAGAGAATGAGCAACTTCCCATAATGATGACCCAGGTCAGACCTATACTTCCCAGGTGTGGGGTGTTTTCCGTAACACAAATCAAGAGGGACTAATGTACTATCGTCTATTTCAGTCAAGAGACCCAGTGACTGGTGAACCACTACCAAAGGTTTCTGTAATACATAACACTCTGCTGATGAGCTTGCCCTGCTGCCTTTTATGATAACCACAATGATTTTGCGTCCTTCCTTTGAATGCTGCTACTTGGCCTCTGCTGCCCTAGAATAGTTTCCTTTTCATTTCAATCAGGGAAACCATGTCAACTGAAGCATCTGCCATCAACATCCTCAGCTTAGGAAGAACAGTAGAACAAACTCTCCTCAAAACTCCCTTCACCAATACATTCCTCAAGATATTGGTGAAGAAATTATCTTCTAGACATCTTGGGTAATAAATTAGGATGAAGGTGATTTATGTATAATTCCAACCCAGAGTACTTGCTACCCTTCCCTGCATTATTTAAGAGATTTCTAGGATCGCAACTTCACTATCCCAAGCCTCCATGAAACCCAGATTATAACCAAGCAAATGAGCCAAGAATCAGACCCACTGTAGCCACTCTGGGTAACTCTTTCAATATAGAAGCTCAGAGTGATACATTTATTCTTTTGAAAAATTACACGTTACCTGTCCAAGGTCAATTACTAGTACACATAGTCCCAAGTTTTGTTGTCATAAGATCAAAAGAAAGAAATCTTCTCACCCAGATTTTACAATGCTTTTGACTTCTCTGGGACATGTTGGGATTTAACCACTAGTTCAAGTCTGGAGATAAATGAGGGCGGGGGTGGTGTTCACGGTTCTAAGTGGTAAACGGACTCTCTCTTGCAAAGTCAGCCTCTGAAAAAGAAAGGAAATACAGTCTCCAAGCAAGAAAAGCCGCTTCCATCGAAGAAGGGAGGATGCACTTCTGTGATGCCATTAACAGTACTGCACTGGCAAATGTTTAACAATCCATTCTCCGGCAAGGGGGTTAGGGACAGCCCTGATTGTGGCATTTCAAATACTTGTAACTGACTTCAAATTGTCAACATATCATGGACACAGAGTAGAGATGAGATAAATGCAGTTGATCTCAGGAGCTGGCAAGAGCTGGCTCCAGCACACAACTACAGAGGGGGAAAAGGCTATGAGTTCAAGGCTTTGGAATCACCCCACATTGTCTAATTCTTATGCTTAGGATCCTCCAGTCCTATAGTTTTCTGAGCATTGCTGTCTCTCACTTTCTCATACAAGGACCGGCAAGACTCTAAAATCAACTGATAGTATAATTTGGCAATCATAATATCAAACTTGGAGTTTGATTTTCACCTACATGAAAGTTGAAAGAATTAGAGAGAATTGAGACTCTGTTAGGATTGTGAGAGTTCCAGGAACTCAGTCTTTGCCATAATCAATAATTTAAGAAGATTAACTTATCATTTATCTTTTATTATTATTATTATTATTTTTTGAGACGGAGTCTCGCTTTGTCACCCAGGCTGGAGTGCAGTGGCGCATCTTGGCTCACTGCAAGCTCCGCCTCTTGGGTTCACACCATTCTCCTGCCTTAGCCTCCTGAGTAGCTGGGACTACAGGTGCCCGCCACCACGCCCAGCCTATTTTGTGTATTTTTAGTAGAGACAGGGTTTCACCGTGTTAGCCAGGATGGTCTCGATCTCCTGACCTCGTGATCTGCCTGCCTCGGCCTCCCAAAGTGCTGGGATTACAGGCGTGAGCTACTGCGCCCAGCCTATTTCTTTTTTTTTTTTTTTTTTTTTTTTTTTTCAGCTATTCGGTGCCCTCCAAACATCAGGTGCATCCCTACAGTCTTTCATCTTTTCAATGACGGTGGCAACTTGGTTTCCCCAAAACCTCGCCTTGAATAGGCATTTCATTCTAAGAGAGCCTTTCATTACAGGGACCAAAGGCACTGTTTAGTTAGCTCTTCACCATGGCATAGGATGAGCTACCAGGATCGTGTCTGTGAGGACAAGTGGAATTTTGCCCCTTTTGGCCCCAGTCTGAAAATCAATTCCACTTGCTGACTTTTCACTCCACTTTCCCTAAAACTCTATTACATTAAACTGATTCCAAAGTATGACTTTCTGTACTAATGAGATCTTTAGTTCAAAGGAAGATAAACCAAATATGTTTCAATTAAGGCAAGCAAGTAATTTATGGCAAAGATATTAGTTAGCTCACAGAATTATATGAAACTTAGCCAGGAAGGCTCAGAAAGTCAGTGGGAACCAAGGGAGATTTGTCAACAAGAAACACTGCATAGGAAAAGGCTAGATTGGGACACCACAGAGTCTCTAGCTAGCACTATCACCTCTGTTCCAGTCTCTGCTGTGCTGCTACTGTGGCACTGTGGATCGTTTTTCCTCTATCCCCAGATGGGACCATCTGACTTGTCAAACCAAGGCTATGTGCCTTTGTCCTCTCTGCCTTAGTATAGAAAGACAAAGCATATTACCTCTTCATCCTTGGACATGAAGCCGTGCCTTCTGCCAAGACTTGAAAACTCAATGTAGAAAGAGTGTTCATATGCCTAATAGTCTGAAGTGATCACGACTGTGTTTGATAGATTAGGAATTAGATGCTTTGATAGAACAGTTTCAAGTGACTGGGGAGCAGAAAGTGAGACCGCAATAAAGAGAGGAGTAAATTAGATGAAGAACAATTACAGGAACTAATGATGACAGACTAATCTTTTAAGAAATTTCATAGAAATAGAGGAGATAGTAGCTTGAAGGGCAATGCAGATTTGGAAGTAATGCTTTGTTTATTTTCTTTATAAGACATAAATTCATCAAGTCAATTAGAGAATGCACTTAAGAGAAAAAGACTGAATATTTCAGTAATCACGGGGATAATTGAAGAATGAATGGAAATGGGTAAAATTAAGAGCATGTGTGTGGATTAACTTTTTAAAAGAAGAGGGTAATATTTTCCCGAAAATAGGAGAGAGAAAAAGGACTAATGATGACAATGATATCGTAAATCAAAGAGGGGCAGGTTACAGTTGTTTGTTAAAGGAGATCAGGCAGCCTTGATCTTTTCACTTCAACAGGACATAGGAGCAGCGTCCAAAGCTGAAGGAATCAGGCAGACTTAGAAACCCAGGATAAGTGAAAAACATTTAGAAAAGCTACTGTGAACAGTGATAATGAACGGAGCATGAATCTACTAGTGGAATTGGGGATCACTTCGTATCTGACTGACTAAAAGCTGTTTAATAATAGCAACTGAAGTGGGGCTGATAGATTTTTCCATTAGGAATAACATATACTAAATCCAGCTTCCACAGCCCTAGTAACAGCCTTCAGTGTGGTTACACAAACAACAGAGGCAGAAGATTTTAGCCTCACAGCCCCCAACACACATCAAATGCACAACTACTCACCTTCTTGTAGAAGTACTAAGTAGAAAAAAATATTGCAAGAGGATGAAATGCTTGTGACAAATGATAAATGAGTCCCAAATATAGCTGTCTATGGCAGCTTTATCTGTGGTTTTGTGGCGTCTTTGATGCTTATTTAAAGGAACTAGAATTTAACCACCCATTAAGAGTCCAGATCAGGCCTTGGATTCACCTTGGTCTTCTGAGGTTGTCTTTTCCACAGAATCTTCCAGGTGCGTTTTTATAATGACACTCTATCAAGCCACTGAGATCAACTGCCAGAGCTCAATCTGCTACAGGAATCTTGCTAGAAGAGAAGAATGTTTCATCAGAGACAGTCATTCATCCTGGCCCACACCTCTCCTGCTCTGATCTTCCACTGTTAAAAGCATAACACACTGGAGGAAGATTGTGCTATATTTCATGCATGCTCTGCGCCACCACCAAGGGACAGTCCCATCTGTTATTTGCTCTCAGCTTTGCTTACTGATAAAACAGGAAGGACAGCTTGCTGATGGGCTCTTTGAAGCAAATGGATCCTCTCTTTCCTGGAATTAATGTTTATAAATTATTTCTACAGTAGACAGCATGTATGGTACCATGATTTCAAAATTAGTTTCAATAAATTAAGGGCCTGCATTCATTACAAGAGGAGCTTGATTACAATGCAACTCATGGAGTTTACTGTTGTGCTCTACCTTTTGTGAAAATTGCTGCATGAAATTAAACACTCTCATTAATTCTGTTGATTATCATCCCTTCATAAGATCTTACAATCATATGTTCAGTTATTGAAATTTCACTTTATGTATATAATCGAGTTTTAGTTGTTCACGGAAAACAGGATTCAGGACACTTCAAAATTTCAGAGACTAGGTTAATAGTCCTCTGGCTTCAGCAAATTGAAATGGCTTATAAGAACAAAGCACAAATATAACTGAAGTGATTTGGGTTTTTTCCCCCCCAGAATATTATGTTGTTTCAATCATATACCATTTTTAGAGTAGAGAAATAATTATATACTTTATGGCTTCTGCACTATTTTCAAAAGGATTTTAGAAGATGACTCTCTTTTTCTAAATTGGAAAACATCCTTTTAGCTCAGCTTTTCATGGTTCCTTTTTATTTCCTTGCCTCAATATCTTTGACCAAATTTGTCTATGTTTTCTTTGTAAACTAATTCTTTTTCTGTGTTAGGTAATGGTATGTTTTCTTAAAAAAGTGACCTTGAAATTTTTATTAGGCTAGCCACTTTTAAAGCTTTAGACTAGGAATTTTAATTTCCAAGCAACACATATCAGTTCCAAGTACAGTTGTCCCTCAATATCCATGGGCTTTGGGGCATTGATTCCAGAAGCTCCTGCAGATCCCAAAATCCACAGATGCTCAAATCTCTGATATAAAATGGTGTGGTATTTGCATATAACCTACTCACATACTACCATATACTTTAAATTGTATCTAGATTACTTATAATACCTAACAATATAAATGCTATGTAAATAGTTGTTATACTGTTTTGCTTAAGGAATGAGAAGAAAACGTCTGAACATGTTTGGTACAGATGCAAATTTTTTCCCAAATATTTTCAATCTGATTTGTTGACTCTACAGATGTGGAACCCCCAAAGACAAAGGGCTGACTGTACAAACAAGAAAAAAATTGAGTCACAGTTTCGAAAGACTCTAGATAGGAGAGAAAAGCCTCTAAACAATTTAAGATTCATTCAAAGACTCTTAAAAGCTCAAGGAGACCACCACCTCTTTATCCTTGTATGAGGTGGTTGAGAAACAGCAGACATACAAGGAGAGCGGATCAAGGGGAGAACAGGAGATACCAAGATTTCTAGCTGAAAAAAAAAACCACTCTATTTGAAAGAGCTACTCCTTAGTACACACTAATAATAATACAGTGAAAGAAAAAAATACTGAAGCACAGAGAAAGAAAAATTGGTATGAAGCATCCTCATGCTATTAACAGGTTGTATTTAGGAGAAGTAATTTTATAAAAATGCAGTCCAGCACTGTGGTTTATGCCTGTAATCCCAACACTTTGGGAGGCCGAGGTGGGCAGGGCACCTTAGGTCAGGAGTTCGAGACCAGCCTGGCCAACATGGCGAAACCTCGTCTCTACTAAAAATACAAAATTAGCCCGGTGTGTGGCAGTCACTGGTAATCGCAGCTACTTGGGAGGGTGAAGCAGAGAGAATTGCTTGAACCCGGGAGGCGGAGGTTGCAGTGAGCCAAGATCGTGACATTGCACTTCAGCCTGGGTGACAAGAGCAAGACTCCATCTTAAAAAAAAATGCATCCCAGTGGTATTGTATACTCTCTGGCCATTTCATGTATTTTATAGCAATCCATAGTAGGCATGATCTATATTGCTTGTGCTGATTACACTATGAGAGTAAGCTAGAAAGTATGGCAGAGATTTAGACTACAGTTAATTGTGCAATATACAATACTTTAATTGTTTTAAGATTAATTTTAGCAGAATTTGAATTACAACTTTCTTTATCAACTCCGTCTATGAGAGATAAAACAAGACCCCTTTGAGATCACACCCACTAATAAAGAGTATAAAAAAAATTCAATGAGGTTTTAGTTATGATTAAATTTGTTTTATTTATTTATTTTTTAATCTTTCAAGTACCCAGGCATTCTTAGTAGAATAAGAATAGAAGAGGTATTCAAAACAGCCCTGATTAAATGGAGAAGTGTTCAGAAACTAATAGAACACAGTTATGAAGAGATAGGTAGAGTATAATTCATTTTTTAAAATGCCTTCAGTGAAATTAACAGAAGTAATTACCAACAAAGTAATGCTATTATTAAAAAGAGAAAGAATATTACTGTCTTATGTGTGATGCATAAGACCAATGAAATAATTTTCCTACTGAATTTAGTCATTTCTCTGGGGAAATTTGGATAAGTCAGGTGCCATTAGAATGATCAGACATTCAGCAAAACAATAAGTCCAGTTTATATTCCTTAAGTCATTAAGGTGATAGAAAAACAAATGTCAGAGGAGAAAATGGTTAAGACATAAGATATTTTAAAAAGAAAAGAAAAATATCTTAGCATGAGCTCAGAGAATGTCTACCACGTAACTGACTTCAGCCGGAAATGTTGACTGTCTAGTTTCTGAATTCCTAAGAACATACAATTTTTTAAAAATAAAAAATGTAATATGAGAGGTTGAAGTTAAATCCAGGGAAACATACACAGAACCTGAAAGACACTAGCCTTTCTTGTAGTCTTTCTAAACACATGCACCATCATCTGTTTCAAATATTTTCATGCCATCCTTCTTACAGTCCTACTTATGATTATCAGTCCTATTATTACCCCATGATACAGTTTAGAAAACAAATTCATGCACTAAGTAAATGGACCAAATCGTAAGTCACTGCCTTTTGCTCCAGAGTTGGCTGCTTTGATTACTCCTACACTTAACTAGTCAACTTTAAAGAAAAAAATTTTTTTTTCTGTGAAGGAAATTAAGTGCCTATTTTCAGAGAGCTAAAAGCAATCAAGGCATCTACTGTGTTATTTTCCTATCCATGTCGACTCATGTTTAAGGTTGACTAGGAAGACATAATCATTGGCTGCTAATAACAAATAGATTTCTTTTGATAAAAAATTTAAAAGAGTTTCTAATGCTTTATTTTATAATTTTCAGTTTTCTATTGGCGTGACATAGTGAAAGTGAGTAGCATAGGGCTGGTATTCAGGAAAAGACCAAGTTCTTAAGTAAAACAGCATGGTGTGTGACTATAAAGGAATAAAATTGTTTATGCATTAAAACTACCTGCCATTCTAATGGATATTTTTCTTAAAAGGAGCCTCCCCAAGAAGCTATTATTCTATTGATAGCTTTGTTCTAAGTATTTTGAAAACACCACTTTTGGAATTGACTTTGTTTGCATTTCTAGCCATACAATAAATCAGGCAGTTTAGCTTTGCTGTACCCCATATAATAGCTCAAATTCTGCTACCTCCCCTAATATATCAAAATTAATATCTTTTTTTTTCTTTTAGGTAGAATATTACTCTGTTGCCCAGGCTGGATTACAGTGGCATGATTTCAGCTCACTGCAACCTCCTCCTCCCTGGTGCAAGCAATATTCATGCCTCAACCTCCTGAATAGCTGGAATTACAGGCACACACCACGACACCTGGCTAATTTTTGTATTTTTAATAGAGACAAAGTTTCACCATGTTGGCCAGTCTGGTCTCGAACTCCTAACATCAGGTGATCTGCCTGCCTTGGCCTCCCAAAGAGCTGGGATTACAGGTGTGAGCCATGGTGCCCAGCCCTAAAATTAATATTTTTAACTCAATTTTTACTGCTTCCCCATTTCATTGACAGAACCATATAATTAAACTAAAGAATTTAAAAAGAAAAAAATTATGGTTAGAAGTACAGATGTATTTTTGTTGTTGTTATTATGAGACAGGGTCTCACTCTGTCATCCAGCCTCGAGTACAGTGGCACAGTCCTAGGATCCTAATTCACTGCAGCCTTAAACTCCTGGGCTCAGGTGATCCTTCTGCCTGTACCTCCCAAAGTGTTGGGATTACAGGGGTGAGCTGCCATGCCTGGGCTAGAACTACCAATTTAAATACAGAAAATTTTAAATACTTAAAATTTTGCATCTTGGCTGGGTGCAGTGGCATACACCTGTAATCCCAGTGCTTTGGGAGGCTGAAGTGGGAGGATCACTTGAACCCAGGAGTTCAAGACCAAACTGAGTAACATAGTGACATCCCCTCTCTACAAGAAATTTTAAAATCAGTCAGACATGGTGGCACATGCCTGTGGTTCCAGCTACTCAGGAGGTTGAGGTGGGAGGATCATTGAGCCCAGGACGTCAAGGCTGCAGTGAGCCATGATCATGCCACTGCACTCCAGTCTGGGTGACAGAACAAGACCTTGTCTAAAACACAAACAAACAACAACAAAAAATTATATATATATATAGCATCTTACTGTGCTAAATAAACGATGTGGATAGTCATGAACCAACCCACTAATCCACTCCTATTTTATCATTGATTTGATTATATGAGGATACATGATATCACCAGATAAATGTTTAGAAAGGAAAGTTATCCACATAGTCCAGCTGAAATGCCACAAAGCTAGTTAACACATTTTGGTCCTCAACTGTCAGATTAAGCCATCTCAATACTACTGCAAATTCCACAGCCAGCTTGGGACTATTCCTCATTCCTGGCATAATTGTTTACAATTCAAAGAATGATAATGTTCCTTCTTTTAGGAAGACAAAAATTTGAAGATCAAAACTTGTTAAATTATGATCTCCAAGATAAAAATGCCTTTCATTTCTTAATATTATACATAAAGTTCTGTTATTTAAAAATTGTTAAAATATTGGTTGATAGTGTGGTATGTCAGTTTTTTAGAGCAAAACATAGCAAGTACCTACAATATGCAGTGAAGTATAAAGACACAATTCCTTTCTTTTAAACATTTATAAAGTAAAATGGCAATGTTTAGTAAAATAATATCCCTCCAAAGGTATCATTGCATTACTGTAATTATTGTTTTTAATAAGATCTATTACCTTGGAAGGATTAGTGGCAAATATGAATAAAACAAATTTACAGGCTTATTGCATATTTTACGTATCTACTGTGTTCTCTGTTTATTACATAAAAATTGTCACCATTTATAAAGAATTTACTAAGATCCAGACACTATACTTAGAGGTTATATAATCTTTATTTCAGGCCTATAAAGGGGGCACTGTTGACCTTGTTTTAAAGATAAGTAGAGCAAAGTTCAGAGAGGTTAATAATTTGCTCTTGGTTTCGTCTCTAAGAAGTGGTAGAGTCAAAATTTAAACCCAAGTCTAACTTCAAAGTTTGCATTGTTATTGACTATTTCTGAAAGCTTAGATTTCACTTATCCTAGCTGTTGAATTTTTAGTAGGAAAATTCTCAGTCTCTGGAAGTTGAAATGCATAAACTGTTGTATATGACAATATCTATCAGCAAAAGAAACACAACTTAATGTTTAAGCTGAAATTAAACTCCATGTCGTATTTCTCATTTCAAAAATGATTAAATACATTTCTTTCCCTGCTGGATTATCACCAGAATGGCATATGATATGTCTGGAATCTACCATCCAGTCCCAAATGACCAGGGGACAAAAGCTGCTTTTATGTCATTTCTAAGCAAAAGCCGAAGGGCCAAACATCACTGGGGAAATTTGCTGGGGCGAGATTTTCAGTTCAATTTTATTCTCCCTTGAGGTTCAAACAAACTTCAGATAATCATCTTGAACTCGGTGATGAACCAAACACAGACTACGGTTTCTCGGAGGGTCAGCCCTTCCATTTAGAAAAAAGCACAGCTTAAAGTGACGAGCCAAATGGGGTCAGATGTTCAATACTTGGCAAAAGCCTCAGCTGTCGTATTGAAACAATGTTGACAACATGGCAGGCTTTAAAATAAATCCCCTTGGAGGCTATTGATATCATTCTCGCTTTCCCTTCTGTCTCCTATCCAGGCTCGCTGCTTTCTGAAGGACATGCCAATCATGCACAGCACTTACTAGAAACTGCAAGACTGCACAACATGATGGTATTTATTCCAGGAACAGGAGCCAGTCCTGGGCACACACATAAAGGGACTTCCTTCACTCCCCAGAAGAAGAGAAAGCATGCTGACACACATCTGCCCAAGCAATCAGAAGGCAGCTAAAGCCGCCACAGTCTTCACTCACCAACAGTTAGACCTTTTCAATTGATTTTATTGAAGAAAGTG
This sequence comes from Homo sapiens, assembly GCF_000001405.40. Classification (NCBI taxonomy): domain Eukaryota; kingdom Metazoa; phylum Chordata; class Mammalia; order Primates; family Hominidae; genus Homo; species Homo sapiens. The sequence goes on from NC_000004.12 coordinate 138,104,764, forward strand.
AGTGCTGAGCACCATGAGTTCTCATAAACAATCCATTTTGGCAAATGCTTTAAGAATGTTGGTTAATTGCAGTTAGGCAGCATCGACGTATTTTATTTTTTGGAAAGCAAGAAGCTGGCTTACCAACATTAAGTTAAACAACATGTAAGGGTTAGAAATATGAATCAACAAACTATTAGGGTGGTACCATCTCTTTATAATAAAACAATGTAGATTGATTAAGTATAGCCTAAAAGTTTACCACAAATCATAACTACATTTAAGCTTTGAATTTCATGACTAGTGATTAATTTTGCATGTCAACTTGACTGAGCTTATAGAATGCCCAGGTATCTGATTAAACGTTATTTCTGGAGGTGTCTGTGAGGGTGTTTCTGTAAGAGATTAGCATCTGAAGGCCAGGTGTGGTGGCTCATGCCTGTAATCCTAGTACTTTGGGAGGCCGAGGTGGGCAGATTGCCTGAGCTCAGGAGTCTGAGACCAGCCTGGGCAACATGGCAAAACACCGTCTGTACTAAAAAATACAAAGTTTAGCCGGATGTGGTGGCACACACCTGTAGTCCCAGCTACTAGGGAGGCTAAGGCATGAGAATTTCCTGAGCCTGCGAGGCGGAGGTTGTGGTAAGCCAAGATTGTACTCCAGCCTGGGTGATAAAGTGAGACCCTATCTCATAAAAAACAAAAAAACAAAAAAGAAAAAAGGAGAAGAAAGAGACACAGATTAGCATTTGAATGGGTGGACTGAGTAAAGCAGATGGCCCTCGTCAGTGTTGGTGGGAATTGTCCTATCCATTGAGGGCTTAAATGAAACAAAGACTGAGGAAGGCTGAATTCAATCTCTGCTGACTGCTGGGGCTGAGACATCAATCTTCTCCGGCTCTCAGTGCTCTTCCAGACTCAGACTGGAATGTACACTATCAGCTCTCCAGTTCTCAGGCCTTCAAATTACACCTCTGGCTTTCCTGGGTCTCCAGCTTGCAGATGGCAGATCGTGGGACTTCATGGGACTTCTCAGACTCCATAACCAAGTAAGCCAATTTATTATAATAAATCTCACATATATATAATTATATATGTATATATAAATCTCATATATATGTGTGAATGTGTGTGTGTGTGTGTGTGTGTATAAGGTTGATGCAAATGTAATTGAGGTTTTTCCATTGAAAGTATGTCCAAAACCCTTATTGCCATTGAAAGTAATGTCCAAAACAATTACTTTTGCACCAACCTAAATATTTATATATATACTTACATATATAATAGGAAATAATATATATATATCTCCTATTGACTCTGTTTCTCTGGAGAGCCCTAACACGCTAACACAATAACCTTTCACTGTGCATGTGACATAATGAAATATAGAGAACTATCTATGCTGTGAGGAAAATTAGCTTTTTGATACATTGCTCTCTGTTATAAAATAATTTATTTTCCTGTGCATATATTATAGGAGAATAATATAATGCCAGTAAGCATAGTTTGATATTAAGTTGAGACTTTTAAACAGCTCACATTGTATTTGCCTTTGAGGTTTATATAACTGCCAACCCATGTATCTTTCAGTTATAAGATTCCGAGGTTGGTATATAGGTATCTCAGTAAGGTTATTGGGGTTCCTAGACCACCATGATGCCCAAGGAAATAGCTTTTTTATAATCCAAAGTTGAAATACTACTGAAATGATCAAAGAAGACATTGAGAAATGTTTTTTAGAATAATCTCATCCTTTAACTAATCACCTTTTCAGTGCTCTCAGAATACTAAAGCCATGGACAATTTTAAAAACTAGAGGCCGGGCACAGTGGCTCATGCCTGTAATCCCAGCACTTTGGGAGGCCGAGGTGGGCAGATCGCGAGGTCAGGAGTTCGAGACCAGCCTGGCCAACATAGTGAAACCTCGTATCTACTAAAAATACAAAAGAAAAAAAAAACAACTAGCCGGGTGTGTTGGCGTGTGCCTGTAGTCCCAGCTACTCAGGAGGCTGAGGCAGAAGAACCACTTGAACCCGAGAGGCAGAGGTTGCAGTGAGCCAAGATCGCACCACTGCACTCCAGCCTGGTGACATGAGACTCTGTCTCAAAACAAAAACAAAAACAAGAAAAAACTAGAACTTGAATGGGCCATAAGACGGTCCAATTCCCTCATTTACTGGATTATGGTGCTTCATTCAGAGGCCATCTCAAAAGGCAGTGAGAAAAGAGGGCAGCTGGTTGCCCATACTTGCTCCAGCCAGAGCAACTCCTACCACTGTTCTGTCTACTGGTCTTTTAAGCACAGTTTACCTAAGAAAAATAAAATTGCACTTCTAAAAGAAAAATTTGAAACCACTGATCTTGTCGTTTTATAGGTAATCAAGTTGAAATTGAGAAAGGTGAAATGATCAGGCCGCTATCGCATGCCTAGTTTATGATCAGTCAGAACTGCAGACTCTTCCCATTCCCTGGAGCTAGAACAAGCCACACCCTTTCAGGAGACTAGAGTTGTGCTCCTGCTATTCCTTCTGTCAACATCATCCAGTCTCTTCTTATTTCCTGAATGTCCTGCTCCTTTTCCCAACATAAATTCATGAAGCTTTTTTTGGAATTCTGGCCAGTTTTATCCATTTAACCACACAGTTATGGAACGTTCTGAAGAAAAAGCATGGGGAGGAACAGGCTTAAGCACAAAGGAAAACACAGAGCTAGGGTGAAATGTTCCCTTCGTTTCGAGATATCATTATGTTTGCATCGTCATTATTGTCTTCATCAGCATTCCTTCTATTCATACCGTACTCCATGACGGTTTATTATTATATGTGCTACCTCATTTGATTACCGCTCAATAAGCCCTGTAATGTATCTTAACAAACTAAGTGCTATGAAAATCATAAATTTGTTTGTACTATTTTGCATTTTTAGGTATACTGCGTTCTAATTGTCCATAAGCTCTTTAGCTGATGCAATTTTTTCTCACAAAATAGATTTAAAAATTTTTAAAGTCATCTGTTATATCTGTTACCTTTTTCATTATCCAAGTGCCTAACAAAGAAACACATTGATAGCAAAGAATCTGCAAATCACTGGTTAGCAAAACTAGAAACAAAACCAACGCCTGTAACCACAGTGTCCAGTGGCAAAAAGTCAAGAGCAGAAAGTGGAGATCAACTGCAGATAAACTGCAGATAAACGGCGGGAGTGCTGCAGCCTTAGGTGACCTCCTGGCAGCTTTTGATGCTAATGATCATGCCCTCCTTCCTGGAGCTTTCCACTTCCTTTGTTTTATATATCACTGCTCTCTTTTTCGCTCTTTGAAGCTTCCTTCCAAGTGTCTTTTTATGGTTTTGCTGACCCTCCACATATTTTCATATTTCTGAGTATTTCCTCATGCCATTCATTTCTCTTTCCTCTTTGCTTGAACTGCCCATCTTCCAAAATTCAGCTCAACTACCACTTCCTTTCTAAAGGCTTTCCTGACTGCCAAGATTGGAAGTATTTATTCCTTCCTCTTTTTCTTTTTTTTAAAAAAAAATTCATTTTTTCAAATAGTGAAGCCACCTTTGAAAAATTGTGACAGTGAGAGAAATCTGACATAGCTGACTCCATCTTTCTTCTAACCTCCAAGCTGTACTTGGTCATTTCTGGGCATAGGCCAAGCTAACTTTGGGAAGAATTATTTTATAGTTTAACCTTAAAGCAAGGATGATAATTGCCCTTCCCCAAAACTAAACTGCCTTTGTAAAACTAATGAAAGGCCGTAAGGCTAGCATTATGAAGGGAGCCTAAATCTGCTAAAATATAACCAGCCATTGTTCAGGAGGTCACAAAATTTATAATTTCCCCAATTACTCCTGTAGATGACATCACTGTTATAGAACCTAAGATTGGTCTTTTGAGATGTTTTTTCAGATTTTTGCATTTCTGATGGCTGGCTGATTTCACCCAGATCTGTGATTCTTGACTCAACCAGTCATGTGGCTCCCACCCAGAGGCAGACTCAGCACAAGAGAACCATTTTCCACACCCTTATGATTTCATCCCAAACCAATCAGTAGCACCCATTCCCTAGCCCCATGCCCACCAAACTATACTTGAAACACCCTAACCTCCAAGCCTTTGGGGAGATTGGTTTGAGTAATAACCCCATCTTCAGCATAGCTCCTCTTGCATCAATGAAACTCTTTCTTTGGTGCAATACTGTGGTCTCAGTGAATTGATTTTGTGTGTGCAGTTGGCAGAAAAAAATCCTATCAGGCAATTACAAAAGATATTGCATTCACATAGTCCAAAATCCAAACATATTTAGAGGCAGGTAGTGAAAAGTCTCCTTTGCACTATTGTTTCATGCTGTTCCCTTTCACTTCTCATTGGCTAACTTTGTGTTTCCAAAAATATTTATGCATAAATTAGCAAAGACAAGTTTGCTCTGGTTTTACACAAATAGTAGGGTGCTATGCAGTGTGTTCTGAACACTGCTTTTTTCCACTAAATGATTGTGTTTTGGAGAGAGGTGTTTTCATATTAGTATAGAGAGTATAGCATTATTCCCATATAGCTGTATAGTATTTTATGTCAGGGTTGTAGTATAGTATATTTAATCACTCTCCTATTTATGAAACTCTAAATGATTTTTAACTTTTGTTATTATGAGCAATGATGGAATTAATAGTCCTGTACATATGTCAGAGGCATTTGAACCAGAGCAACTCCATTTTGAGTGAGGGCTAGGAAAATGAGTCTGGGACTTGCTGGGCTACATTTCCAGAAAATGAGGCATCCTTAGCCTCTAGAGGTTTATGGTTAAGGGAACAAATTAATAATGCTTACGAAACAGACCCAGACTTGGGAGTGTCCAGATATCCTGCTATCTGGAGAACAAAGGCATTCATAGTTTTGCTTTAAAGATAATAGTATCAATTATTGCAAAATATAGTAATTAATAAAATTAATCCTTTATCACAAACTCTTGTAGCAGAGCACATCTCCCCAAGATCTATTTTTATCCTATGTATATATATACATATATATACAAGCATTGTAACTAGGGTGGACACGTTCCTCCTCTTACTTTCAGGAACGTCCTATTCTGTCTATGGAGTAGCTGTCCTTTCACCACTTTACTTTCATTTATTTAATTAATTTTGTTTTGTTTTGTTTGTTTGTTTGTTTTTTTGAGACAGAGTCTAGCTCTGTTGCCCAGGCTGGAGTGCAGTGGCATGATCTCGGCTCACTGTAACCTTCGCCTCCTTGTTCAAGCAATTCTCCTGCCTCAGCCTCCCGAGTAGCTGGGATTACAGGTGCACACCACCATGCCTGGCTAATTTTTGTTTTTTTAGTAGACTTGGGGTTTTCCATGCCAGGCTAGTTTCGAACTCCTGACTTCAAGTGATCTGTCACCTTGGCCTCCCAAAGTGCTAGGATTACAGGCATGAGCCACCATGTCTGGCCCACTTTACTTTCTTAATAAACTTGCTTTTGCTTTGCACTGTAGACTTGCCCTGAATTCTTTCTTGCATGAGATCCAAGAACCTGCTCTTGGGGTCTGGATTGGGACCCCTTTCTGTAACACATATATCATTTTGCAAAAACATACTAGTATACTCACAGAATAAATTGGAATTGTTCCATCAGAGAGTATAAAATTATGGTAAATATTTTCATTTATTCTCCATATGTGTTGTACCAATTTATACTTTCTCAAGCAATATGTGAAGTTCACATTTCTCCCACATTCTTGATAAGACTGTGTATCAAACTTACATATCTTTATCAATCTTTATAGGTGAGAGATGTTATTGCAGTGTAATTTTATGTTTTATTTCTTTCATTATGATTCAAGTTCAGCACCTTTTCATATTTTAAGGGTTATGTGTATCTCTTTTTAATGAATTATCTGCTTATATAATTTTCACATTTTTCTAGTAGGTAATTAGTCTTACTCATTTATGGAAACCTTTTACATATTAAGAAAATTAGATCTGTTTTGTTTTTATATGAGTTACAATTTTTTCCAGTGTATGCTTTCTTCTTTTTGACTCTGCTACTAATAACCCTCCTTACTTTCTAGTTGTTGTAGGGGAGAAAAAATAATTTTCCCTACAATTCATATTTCTCATGTGGGACTCTCTCTAACAAAAGATACATTAATAGCAGGAAAATAAACACGTTTATTAACATGTATATTTTTATATGAGACAGCTAGGAAATGAGTAATTCTCTAGAGTAGATCTCAAAGAAAAGCATTTAAACTTCAGGCTTACATACCATTGTTCTCTGAAACAAAGAAAGAAGGATGTGGGGAAAGGCCTGGTTATGATATGACCAGGAAAAGCACCTTAAACAAAGATAAGGTTTGTTATGCAGATTTAAGTCAATATCTTCTCCAATTACTCATCTCTCTCTTCAGGGTGCAGAGAGGGAGACACCCTTACAAATAGAGATTTTCATTATAGATGTCAATTTCTCTTACAAAGGATCAACTTTTCAGAGCTGCTTTTATGTCTGCAGTTTCTCAAAATAATATGCCACAGAGGCATATTTTAGGGTTGTATATACTGGTCTCCTACAATCATATTTTGGGATGATGTGAGCCCCATCACTGCCTGTGAACTATTCATTTTGTAACCACCCAACTGGTTCTTCTTGCCTGCTGCCCAGATAAAGCTGATTTATCAAGACAAGGGAAATACAAGACAGAGTTTAATACACATAGAGCCAGCTAAACAAGAGACAAGAGTTTTATTATTACTCAAAGCAGCCTCCCAAAAATTTGGAGGCTAGGGTTTTTTAAAGCTAATTTGCGAGGGTTGAAGCTGTTCTCTTGCACTGAGTAGGTTCTTGGGTGGGGACAACAAGACCAGATGAGCCAGTTCACCAGTCTAGGTGGCGCCAGCTGATCCATCGGAATGTACTTCCTAAGAAATACCACAAACACCAAGCTTAGGTTTTACAATAGTAATGTTGTCTATAGGAGCAACTGAGGGGGTTGGTGATCTTGTGGCCTCTGGCTGCATGACTCCTGAGCTGTAATTTCTAATCTTGTGGCTAATTTGTTAGTTTTTCAAAGGCAGTCTGGTTCCCAGGCCAGGAGGGATTTTGTGTCAGGAGAAACTGTTGTCATCTTTGTTTCAAAGTTAAAGTATAAATGAAATTCCTCCAAAAGTTAGCTTGGCCTTCTCCCAGGAATGAACAAGGGCAGCTTAGAGGCTAAAAGCAAGATGAAGTTGGTTAGGTCAGATCTCTTTCACTGTCATAATTTTCTCACTGTTATAATTTTTGCAAAGGCAGGTGTAATTTATTATAGAACTCACCATACTACGTCATAATTCTTTCTACATTTGCTATCAGACTTTGAGGATCTCAAGAGCAGGTATCTTATTCAACTTTTCATGCCTCTTGTACATTAGCTTACCAGGTACTGAACATGAACCACAAATTTTTTTAATGAATTATTGTGTGCTTATTTTTTCTTTTGGGCTTAAATTCATGTTAAATTTTTAATGATTACATTGGTATTAGCTACATTTAACAGCATTTACAGCTTTGTTTTGTTGTGGCCCTACTTCTTCTTTTTCCTATTCTACTGATATTTAGTTCAATCAATTATGTAGGAGACCAGAATATGCCACCCTGAAATATGACTCCTTAGCATAAGGATTATTTTGAGCTGGTTATTTGAAGGTACCACAGACACATGAGAAGCCCTAAAAATAGAGTACAGGTTACCCTTTTGTAAAGGGAAATTTACATTTATAAAGAAAATCTCCACTGGTAAGGGTGTCTTCCTCTCTGTACCAGGAGCGAATGACTTTAAATCATTAGAGATTGTTATCAATAGACAAGGCACTGACTTAAATCTGCATAACAAACCTTACCCTTGTTTTCCATGCTTTTCCTGGTTACCGCCACATTACTGGTCCTCCAACTCTCTTTTTTCTTTTTTTCAGTAGAGGATGGTATTTAAGCCTGAACTAAGCCCACATCTTTGAGATTGACTAATTTCTGTGAATATCTAGAATGAATGTGTATCTAAGGATTAAATGTTAATAAACTTCTATTTGTTTTTCTCCTCTTAATCTATCTTTTGTTACTGGAGGGACTAGTTAAGAACTCAGAAAAAGTAGAGAAAAAAATTATTTTCTACCTTTACAACAAGCAGAAATTATTCAGCAGATTGGTGTTACGCGCGTAGGGGTGAAGAGACCATCAAACAGGCTTTGTGTGCGCAATAAAGCTTTTTAATCACCTGGGTGCAGGCGGGCTGAGTCCAAAAAAAGGAGTCAGCAAAGGGAGATGGGGTGGGGCAGTTTTATAGGATTTGGGTAGGTAGTGGAAAATTACAGTTAAAGAAAGTTGTTGGCTTGCGGCCAGGGGCGGCGGTCACAAGGTGCTCCATGGGGAGCTTCTGAGACTCATTGTCCAGGAGAAGGAATGTCACAAGGTCAATTGATCAGTTAGGGTGGGACAGGAACAAATCACAATGGTGGAATGTCATCAGTTAAGGCAGGAACTGACTATTTTTTACTTCTTCTGTGGTTCTTCAGTTGTTTCAGGCCATCTGGATGTATACGTGCAGGCTTGGTCTCAGAGGCCTGACAACTGGTTTTTATTCGGAGTACAATTTAAAAATATCAGCAGGAAAAGATGTGTGTGTGTGTGTGCCTATGTATGTGTGTTTATGTGTATGGGGTGGAGGTGGAAGAGGCAAGCTCACATAACCAACCATTTAAGGCTCTAAGTTTCTTTTTAATCTATAAGATAAATAAGTGCCAGAATAAAGTATCCTAGAACATACTGAAGATTTCATGCCAAGATCCCTAGTCCCAGAAAGCTATTTTGAAATGACACTTTGAAGTAAATCAATGGAAAATTCAAGGAAATGAAAGGCCTGCGCTTCAAAAAATCCAACATCAATCAGTACTACTGCTAGGTATCCTTTATTTTCCTCCTTACATATTGTACATACAAGTTGTAGGATAGCTTTTTACAGGAAAAGGGTAAAAATTATTTAATTTTCTATAACTTCAGCCACTTATTCTCATGCTATGGCTTTTCAAATGTTTATGTATTTGAATGAAAACACAGTAACTCCTCCACCTGTCTTTAAAACAAAGGTGGTTATATACCTGGTCTGCAGGGGCAGAGGGAAGGTGTGGAACTTAATATTAAATGTTCATCCATAATTTTCACTTTGCTTCAGACCTTGATGAGGAGTCAAGATGGCCTCTTGCTTTGTTTGGTTTTGAGGTCTTCATGCTAGCATGCAGTTGTGTAAGAGCAATTTACCGTGACTCACCTTTCTTTTTTTTTTCTGGCACAAAAAATAAAGTTTTCCTATGGTGCTCAATAGCACTCAAATGTGCCAGGGCAAAGGCCTCTTTTTTAAAAAAATGAAATAAAACATATGGAAGGAAACTAAGAACTCTTGTCAAAATTATTCCACTGTGAAATTAGTTACATTCCACAAGAAAATATAATCATGCCAAGGGTTATTTTCTTCAGTGACTCTCACATAAACTACAGCAGGAAAAAAAAAATCTGGTGTTCAGCTTCATAAGCTGTCAGTGCCATTGGCTACCTAAACCCATTCATATTTGATTATTTTCAGTCCACTGCCATTTCTATACAGCCCTGGTGGATATTTCCTTGATTCATTAAATAAAACATTCCCATCAGCCTATTATTGTGTTGCTGCTGTCCTTGCTATAATTAACACAGCAACAGATTTAAAAACTAATACTTAAAATAACTGGTGTAGAATTCACTTCTAAACAGAATACACATAAAAAAGATTATCCAACAGGGAGCTGCCAAATGTACTGTAAACTGCAAGAGTTTCACATCCTTTAAACACTCGGCAAGATGCTAACTGAACCACATCTCTGCTGTCAGCAGAGCATGAAACTCTGAGATTTGTTTCAGTTTCCATCTAGTCTCTGCCAGTTAAAACTAAAGACTTCCACAGGGTAAATACCTATTCCATTTTTACTGGCATTGCCTACTTTCTCTTTGACAATCTTTATGTTTCCCTCTCAGGAATGCTTGAGCCCTTTATGAATGTGACATTTTGCAAAGCCCTGTGGTCTAATAAACTTTCCCAAATTTCCTCATCATCCTCATCTCCACAAAGTCTTTCTTATGTGCACACAGTTGTGAGTGGCACTATGCAAAGAAAATCTAATAGACCCTATTCTTTTTCCTATAAGAATATATCATGGAGAACACACACACTCATACATATACCCAGTACCTAGAGAGAGAGAGAGCTAAATGCAAACAGTAAGCTCTGCTCAAAATCCTCCATTGGATTCTCGTTTCTTATCAAATCAAATACAATTTTCTCAGCTTGTCACTCAAAGACTTCTACAATATGAGCCTAGATTATCTTTCCAGCCGACAATTTACCAATCTCCTGAGTGTATCTCCTGTTCCTAGTAAACTAGATTACTCACAGTTCCTGTGTTATATGGTGCTTTCCTATTATCTTATCCTGACCCCAGACAGGTAGAAAATCAGGGCCCTGGAGTCAACTAGTCTGGAGTGTGGGATGTTATATGCCTGGTTCAGGGGGAAAGGAGGGAGAGGAATAGAGAAGAGGTATCCCTTGTAATCTTATCAATAGGCAGCTGCTGGGGCACTAGGAAGTGATTTGAGTCAGAGCAACTCTCAGAGTTGCTGATGAGAAAAGTCATGCAGACCATCCAAATAAGTTGTCAGTTTTAATGAGTGCTACAAAAATGAGGATTCCTTAATGAAGCCAGGCACACCGAGAGAGGACAGGACACGTGCTTCAAACTGGAGCGTGTGAGATGCAGGCTAAAGCTCTGTAAATAAGAGTAGAAATGAAATGACTTTTCCTATTGTGACTGCTTCTTTGGGGTCTGGGGACAGAGAGTTAAGGATGTGAACAGAACTGAATGCCACCTGGGCTCTTAGAATGATGGCATTCTTTCTGCATGGAACACCTTTATCCTCTGGTTCAAATCATATCAATTCTTCCAGACCCATTTCAAATATCACCTCTTCCATGAAACCTTTTTTTCTGTCCCTCAAAAGAAGCCATCCTTCCCTCATCTGCACTGTATCAGACATTGTTGATACTTCTTGACAGCCTTCCTTACTAGATTGTGTATTATATTCTTAAATTTGTCTTATACCTTTAATATATTATAAGCACCTTAAGTTATGGATTTACTCTTTCTTAATATCAACTGTAGCAACTACATACTGTGACACATAACTGTTACTCAATAAACATTGTTAACATTATTTTAACTAACATCTGAGAACAGAGAATATTTGCATGACTTACGGAAAAAGAAAAGGGGCATCAGTATCCAAATATACCTCTGGATGTTCTCCCAACTGGCCAGTATCACTGGCATTCCCATATGTTTTATAGAGATAACTAGATATATTCAGCTTATATTGAATATTTATTTATAGTTCCTCATGAACCTAGTCAATCAATCTGAAAAATTTATCATAATAAAAGTATTTACTATAATCTCAAGGCATATGAGGGATGCTGAATAAATATTACCACAAAAATATGCAAATGTCCACTTTAATGTTCTCTTCATTTGTTCCTCATACAACCAGGAGATATATCATACCACCTAAAAGTTGGACCCGAAAACTAATTTATGTTATGCTTTGATTAAAATTTAGTTTGCTTTCATACTTGATTTAACAATCTTTTCTCACTATTTTGTTCTTTTGTTAAATATATCATGTTGGAAGTATATATTTCTTATAAGCTCATAGTAAGATGTATAGGAAAAATCCTACAGTATAAGGAATAAAATCCTTCTTAAATGTTTTCCGTATTAACAGGAAAATTGAGGTCAGATTTTCAACCAAGTATATTGGATATTATGTGATGCATTTTATGTTTTAATATTTATCTCAGTTTTCCTATTTTCCTTTAATTTCTTGCTTTAAAAAAATTGGTATCTTAATCTTACAAGTTAGCCCCTTTACACATTTTTAATAATGCAGAGTATGAATAATAACACATAAAATTAAAGTTATCTAATCTTATTTATACTTTAGTATCCTAAAGTCAAAATGTTACATAGAAGTATAGTATATTATTAAATGAAAAGGAAATGACTATTATAGGTGCATTTTTTTTTAAAATACAATGATTTCAAAACTAGCTCGAGGTTTTAGGAAAAATCTGTCTAATTTGCTCCTAACACTAAGACAAATCTCCTAATTTGTTCCTAACACCAAGACAAGCCATATATTCATTTTTCTCATTATTTAGAATTGTAAATTCACAATTTATAATTGTAGAAAATTGTGGAGTACAATATGATGTTATGATTCATGAATACAATGTGAATAATTAAATCAAACTTGTTAAATCATCCGTTTCCTCAAATACTTAACATTTTTTGGTAGTGAGAACGTTTGACATTTACTCTCAGCAATTTTGAAATGTAGAATACTCCATTATCAACTATTAATATATCCACCACAGTGTGCAATAGATATTTAAAAAAAACCCATATTGATCATCATTTCCCCATTATCCCATCCCTCAACCTCCATAACCACTTTCTACTCTCTTACTTCTATGTGTTCAACTCTTTTAAGATACTATATATAGTCGAGAACACGCAGTATTTGTTTTTCTGGGCCTGTCATATTTCAATTAGCATAATGTTCTCCAATTGCATACATGCAAATAACATTTCCTTCTTTGATAAGGCTGAAGAGTATTCCATTGTGTATATAAACGACATTTTCCTTATCCATTTATCTGTTGATGGACAATTAGATTGATTCTATGACTTGGCTGCTGCAGTGAACATGGGAGTGCACACACCTTCTCAACAAACGTATTTCAAATATTTGGGTAAATACCTAGAAATATGGTTTTTGCCTCATGTAATTCTATTTTTAGTTTTTTAAGGAATTTCCATATAGTTTTTCAAGGTGGTTATACCAGTTTACATTCCCAACAACAGTGTACAAGGGTTTTCTTTTCTCCACATTCTTACTTACCTTTGTTATTGTTTATCTTTTTGATAATAGCCATTCTGACAGATGTGAGATGATATTTCATTCTGATTTTAATTTGCACTTCCCTGATGATTAGTGATGTTGAGTATTTTTTCATATATCTGTTGGCCATTTGTATGTCTTCCTTTAAGAAGTGCTTATTTAGGCCCCTTGCCCATTTTTAAATTGGGCTTTTTGTCTTCTTGCTATTGAGTTGTTTGATCTCCTTATATATTTTGAATATTGACATTTTATCAGATGTTTGGCTTGCAAATATTTTCTTCCAATCCATAGGTTGTTCCCCTATATTAATTGTTTCCTTTGCTGTGCAGAAGCTTCTTAGTTTGATAGAACTCCATTTGTCTATTTTGCTTTTGTTGCATGTTCTTTTGGTGTCAAATCCAAAAAATCATTGCTAAGACAAATGTTGTATAGTTTTCCCCCTGTGTTTTGTCTAGTAGTTTTACAGTTTCTGGTCTTCAGTTTAAGTTTTTAATCCATTTTTAGTTCATTTATGCTGTGAGATAAGGGTCCAATATTGTTCATGTGGATATCTAGTTTTTTCACCACCATATGTTGAAGAGACTATCCTTTTTCCACCATGTATTATTGGCAGGTTTGTTGAAAATCAATCAACTGTGCATGCATTGGTTGATTTCTGGGCTCTCTTCAACCAGTCTGCTGGTTGATACGTCTTTTTTTTTTTTTTCTAGCATCATGCTGTTTTAATTACTAGAGAACTCCCTAGTATTGTTTAAAATCAGCTAGTGTGACACCTCCAGCTTTGTTCTTTTTGCTCATGATTGCCTTTGCTATTCAAGGTTTGTTGTTATTCTATATGAATTTTAGCATTTTTTTTTCTATTTCTATGAAAAATAAAACAGACATTTTTACAGTAATTACATTGAATCTATAAATCACCTTGGGTAGAATGAATATTTTAACTATTAATTATTTCAATCCACAAACATAGGATATCTTTCCATCTATTTGGGTCTTCTTCAATTTCTTTCATCAATGTTTTAAACTTTTCAGTGTACACATATTTTAGTTCCTTGATTAAATTTATTCCTAAGTATGTTAATTTTTGTCACTATTATAAATGGGATTGTTTTCTTTCTTTTTCAGATAGTTTGTTATTAGCATGCAAAAATTTGACTAGTTTTTGCATGTTGATTTTTGTATCTTACCACTTTAATGTATTTGTTCATTAATTCCAACAAGTTTTTTTTTTTAATTTAGTCTGTAGGGTTTCCTATATATACGAATATGTCATCAGCAAAGAGTGACCATTTTACTTCTTACTTTCCTAATTATATGTATTTTATTTTCATCTCTTGTCTAATTGCTCTGGCAAGGACTTCCAATACTATGTTGAACGTAGTGCCAAGAGTGAGCATCCTTGTCTTGTTCCAGATCTTAGAGGCAAGACTTTCACTTTTTCTCCGTTAGGTATGATGCTAACTGTGGTTTTCTCCTGCATGGCCTTTATTGTGTTGCGGTACATTCCTTTTGTACCTAATTTGATGAGCGTTTTTATCATAAAAAAGATGTTGAATTTTATCAAATGCCTTTTCTATATCTAATGAGATGATTACATGGTGTTTTGGCCTTCATTCTGTTAATGCAATGTATCATATTCATTGGCTTCAGTATGTTGAGCCATTCTTGTATATCAGGGATAAATCCCACTTGATCATTATGGATGGTCCTTTAAATATATTGTTCAATTTGGTTTGCTAACATTTTGTTGAGGGTTTTTGCAATGATGTTCATCAAGGATACTGGCCTGCAGTTTTCTTTTCTTGTAATGTCCTTGTCTGGCTCTGGTATCAGGGTAATGCTGACTTCATGAAGAGCTTGGAAATGTTGCCTCCTCTTCAGTTTTTTGGAAGAGTTTGAGAAGGATTGGTATTAGTTCTTCATTAAACATTTGGTAGAATTCAGCCATGTGGCCATCAGATCTTGTGATTTTCTTTGATGGAAGACTTTCTTATTACTGATACAATCTCCATACTTGTTATTTTCTGCTCGAATTTTCTATTTCTTTATCAATCAGTCTTGGTAGGTTAGATGTGTTAGGGATTTGTTTGTTTCTTCTAAATTATCAAATTTGTTGCATATAATTGTAATAGTCTCTTTTGATCCTTTGTATTTCTGTGGTATCAGCTGTAGTGTCTTCTTTTTCATATCTGATGTAATTTATTTGAGGTTTCTCTCATTTTTTCTTAGTCTAGCCAAAGTTTTGTCAATTTTGTTTATTTAAAAAAAAAAAAAACAATTCTGGCTGGGCGTGGTGGCTCATGCCTGTAATCCCAGCACTTTGGGAGGCCAAGGCAGGAGGATCATGAAGTCAGGAGATTGAGACCATCCTGGCCAACATGGTGAAACCCCGTCTCTACTAAAAATACAAAAGTTAGCTGGGCATGGTGGCACATGCCTGTAATCCCAGCTACTCGGGAGGCTGAGGCAGGAGAATTGCTTGAACCCAGGAAGCGGAGGTTGCAGTGAGCTGAGGTCGTGCCACTGCACTCCAGCCTGGTGAGATAGCAAGACTCTGTCAAAAAAAAAAAAAAAAACTTAGAAAAAACTAGGTCAAAATTCATATGGAACCAAAAAGAGCCCAAATAGCCAAGGCAATCCTAAGCAAAAAGAACAAAGCTGGAGACATCATGTTAACAGACTTCAAACTATATGACAAGGCAACAGTAACCAAAACAGCATGGTACGGGTACAAAAACAGGCACATAGACCAGCAGAACATATTAGAGGTTCTAGAAAGAATGCCACACACATACATCCATCCACAAAGCTGACCAAAACAAGCAGTGGAGAAAGGACTCCCTATTCAATAAATGCTGCTGGGATAACTGGCTAGTTATATGTGGAAGATTGAAAATGGACTCCTTCCTTACACTATATACAAAAATCAACTCAAGATGGATTGAAGACTTAAGTGTAATACTAAAATTATAAAATTTCTAGAAGATAACCTAGAAAATTTCATTCTAGGGCAAGGACCTGGCAACGAATTAATGATGAGGATGCCAAAAGAGGTTGCAACAAAAATAAAAATTTGACAAATGAGACCTAATCAAATTAAAGAGCTTCTGCATAGCAAAAGAAACTTATCAACAGAGTAATTAGACAACCTATAAAATGGGAAAAAATTTTTGCAAACTATATTTCTGACACAGGTTAGATATCTAGAATCTATAAGGAATTTAAATTTACAAGCAAAAAAGAAACAACCTCATTAAAAAGTAGTCAAAAGACATGAATGGACACTTTTCAAAAGAAGACACACATGTGGCCAACAAGCATGTTAAAAAATTCTCTATATCAAAATTAGAGAAATGCAAATCAAAACCATAATGAGATACCATCTCATATCTGTCAGAATATCTATTATAAAAAAAGAAAAAAAAAATGGCTGGTCACAGTGGCTCATGCCTGTAATCCCAGCACTTTGGGAGGCCGAGGTGGGTGGATCACGAGGTCAGGAGATTGAGACCGCCCTAGCTAACACTGTGAAACCCTGTCCCTACTAAAAATACGAAAAATTAGCCGGGCATGGTTGTGGGCACCTGTAGCCCCAGCTACCAGGAGGCTGAGGCAGGAGAATGGCATGAACCTGGGAGGCAGAGCTTGCAGTGAGCCGAGATTGTGCCACTGCACTCCAGCCTGGGTGACAGAGCAAGACTCCATCTCAAAAAAAAAAAAAAAGAAAAAAGAAAAAAAAAGAAAAAATATAAGAGATGGTGGTGAGGGCAAGGTTGTGGAGAAAAGGGAACACTTATACACTGCTGGTAGGAGTGTAAACTAGCTCAGCCATTGTGGAAAGCAGTGTGGCCATTTCTCAAAGAACTTAAACCAGAATTACCATTTGACCCAGCAATCTTATTATGGGTTATATACCCAAAGGAATATAATTACTTCTGCTATAAAGGCACATGCATGCGTATGTTCATCAGGGCACTATTCACAATAGCAAAGACATGGAATCAATCTAAATTCCCATCAACGGTAGGTTGGATAAAGAAAATGTCACACATATAAACCATGGAATACTATGCAGCCATATAAAAGAAGGAGATCATTTTCTTTGCAGCAACATGGATGGAGCTGGACACCATTATTCTGAACAAACTAACACAGGAACAGAAAACCAAATACCATATGTTCTAACTTATCAAGTGGGAACTAAAAAATTAGAACACACAGGCACAAATAGGGAAACAGCAGACACTGGGGCCTACTTGAGGTTGGAGGATAGGAAGAAAGAGAGGATTTTAAAAATACCTATCAGGTACTATACTTATTAACTGTGTGACTAAATAATCTGCACACTAAACTCCTGTGACATGCAGTTTACCTGTATAACAACCTGCACATGTACTCCTAAACCTAAAAGTTAAAAAAGTTTAGTTTCATGGATGTGTTGTTTTACTAGTCTCCATATTATTTATTTCTTTTCCCCATGTTATTTATCTGTTACAGCCTTCCTCATGCTAATTTTGAGTTTTGTGTGTTCTTCTTTTTCTAGTTTCTTGAGGTATAATATTCGGTTGTTTATTTGAGATCTTTCTGTTTTGCTTTAGTTTGTTTTGTTTTTTATCTAGATATTTATTGCTATACACTTTCCTCTTATAACTGCTTTTCCTGTATCCCATAAATTTGGTTTGTTTTGTTTCCATTTTTGTTTATCTCAAGATATTTAAAATTTTTCTTTTAATTTCTTTGTTGACCATTGATTGTTCTGGAGTATTTTGTTTAACTTCCATGTATTTGTAGTTTTTCCAAAATTCCTCTTACTGATTTTTAGTTTTAGGCTATTGTGGTCAAAAATGATACTCAATATAATTTCAGTCTTCTTGAATTTGTTGAGGCTGTTTTTGTGCCCTCACATGTGTTCTATTCTGGAGAATGTTCTGTTTGTTCTTGAGAATAATATGTATTCTGTTGTTACCGCATGGACTGCTTCATATAGGTCTATTACATCCATTTAATTTAAAGTGCTGTTCAAGTCTAATATTTAGTTATCGTTTTTCTGTTCAGATGGTCTTTTCATTGTTGAGAGTGAGGTATTGAAATCTCCTTCTATTATTGTATTGCAATCTGTCTCTTTCTTCAGATTTTTTACTATTTGTTTTATATATTTATGTGTGCTAATGTTGAATGAAGGTATTTTTACAATTGCTATATTCTCTTCAGGATTTGGTTTATTTATCATTATATAATGCCCTTCTTTTGATGGTTTTTGACATAAAGTCTGTTTTATTTGGTTGCTACCCTTGCTCTCTTGTGGTTTCTATTTACATGGAATATCTTTTTCCATCCCTTCACTTTTACTCTATGTGTGTCCTTAAAATTGAGGTGAGTCTCTTGTAGTCAGCACATAACTGGGTCCTGTTTCTTATTCATTCTGTCTCTCTTTCTTTTTATTGGAGAATTTAACTTATTTACATATAAGATAATTATTGATAGGTAAGAACTTATTACTGCCATTTTCTTACTTGTTTTCTGGTTGTTTTATTAAGAATTTGTTTCTTCCTCTCTTTCTGTCTTTCTTAGTGGTTTGATGGTTTTCAATAGTAGTATGCTTTGAATATTTTCTAGTTTTGTTTTGTGCTTCTATTGAAGATTTTTGCTTTGTAGTTACCATGAGGCTTACATGGAACATCTCATATGTATGACAGCCTATTTCAAGCTGATAACAACTTAACTGTGATGGCTTAACTAACTTTGATACAACAATAGTACATTTTACTCCCTGTTTTCATTTAAACTCTGAATTTCTTTAATAACTCATTGGTAGCTACTGTTTTCAGCAGCCATCAGAGGCCCACACAGGAGAGCACCAGCAGGGGATCCACCTGCATGAGTCTCCTCTAGGTGGTCTCACTGTTAGGGATTGGATTGCAGGTGCAGTTTAATGACACAATCAGAATGCAATAGTTTAAAAGTTTTTCATACTCACATATCCTAGGGGGTACATAGCATGCCTTCTCTACGCAAACACACACAGGTCAGGGGCTGCAAGAAGAGAGAGAGAGAAGGGACTTTTGGGTCAATTCCTTTATTGGACCCACAGAATTATCCAAATTTCCTGTGGAGAGCTTTAATCAGTAGGTTTAAAACAAATAGGCACTAATTTCAGGAGGTCACATTGTGAATCAGAGGTGATCACTTTAAGTTCCTGAGCAAATGTCTAAATGGTCCATTTAAAGGAAGTAGGAGGAAAGCAGGGAGCCTGGCCTGCTAGATGGGAGAGATGCTTCTATGTTTTTATACCTTGTCATTGACTAGAGCCATTCAAGTGGGATACAGTATTGGAAACAGGGTCAAGGTGGCCTGAACCCTGCTTCTAGTATTAATAAATTTATATTTTAAAAGGAATACTGAAGCAATATAAAATTATTAACATTCAGTGTAATTTATCTCATGATGTCTTAGAATCATACTCAAAAGTAAGGCAATTGGAGTTGAGTGGTGGAGATTATTGACTGTAAGGGAAAAGAGTAGTTGTGGTGGTTGTGTGTGGAGACACAGGGCAAAAGATTGGAGTGGAAAGCTGGAGGCAGGTGGCAGAAAAAGACATCAGAGAGTGGGTAAGTCCTCTCCTCAGGGAGTTAAAGGGTTTAATGACATAGAATTGGTGCCTTTTGGGGAAAGCAATAATCTCCATTAATTTTAGTAACCTGTACCAGAATTCTCTTTAGGTATAGAAGTGTGAGGGTATATATTTGACCGGAGAAGAAGTATACCAGGATCACAGGATAAGCAGACAGTGAATTTAGACGGATATGTAAAAATGTGCTGGGTCCATTTTCTGCGTTAGGAAAGGCAGTCTGTGAGTATCCCTTGGTGGAGGTTTAGGGTAAAGAGTGAAGTCAACTACAACATCGAGGTCTTGGGTTAGGATGATGTCATCTGAGGTAATGTCATCTCAGTGGAGAGATTTTGGGTCAGGTCAATGTCATCTGGAATGTCTGACTGGGTATCCTTTTCAAGTGGGTACCCATTTGTGTTAATGTAGGACACAGTATTTAGCATAATTGGTTCAAACAATCATTTGCTGAAGGATTTGGATGTCTGATTGTAAACCAACAAAAGTACCCAAACCAGTAATAGTAATAAGACCAATAATCAATAGAACAATGTGCAGCTGCCCCTGACGAGGTTTTGTTCAGGGTAAAAGTTTAGGTTTAAATGGGTCCCTGGTTATATGAATAGATACCTGGTCTGTGGGACAATCTATTGTAATGAATCCTAGGAGAATATGAGTCCTCCATCTGGCTTCCAGTGTTAGTGGGATGGGGGCAAGATCAAAAATGTATATGAAAGTAGTTAAGGCCTGGGACAAACTGGAGAACCTTAGTGTGTTTGTTGTCTTGGAATTTGAAAAGAAAAGAAGTTTTTTGAGGTCATCATTGTGTCTCTCAATTAAAGCAGTTATTTGGGAGCTATCAAGGATGTGAAAGTTCTATTGAATGTCTTTTTCAAGAACCTAGCAAGATATATTTTAATAAGTGAAATTTGTGCCTTTTTTTAGTAGTAGTAATGCTTGTAACTTTGAAGGGAATAAGAAATATCCCAGCAAAGCCTTAGGCTGTGGCCTCAGAACATATGGAGATTCGTAATTTTGATTTATTCTTTGGGTGTCTATAAATCAAGAAATTCCCAGAGGTTTTGTTTGGTTTGTCTTTGTTTTTTGCCTTAAAGGGGACAATTTTTAAGCAATGGCCTAATAGCTTATAATAAATATAAAGATGAAACCATTTGTTGACCAGGGCATCTAGTGCAAACACAATGGCCTGAAGTTTGGCTAAGTGCGTTGTTTCTTGGTCTCCATCATTTATTAGGGACTGATATGGTTTGAATGTTTGTCCCTTCCAAATCTCATGTTGAAATGTGATTCCCTGTGTTGGAGGTGGGGCCTGGTGGAAGATGATTGTATCATGGGAACAGATCCCTCATGAATGGCTTAGCATAATCCCTTTGGTAATGACTGAATTCTCCCCTTAGTTAGTTCACATGAAATCTGGTTGTTTAAAAGAGTTTGGGACCTCCCCCTTGTCTCTCTTGCTCCTGCTCTCGCCATGTGACATTTTGGCTCCCCATCACCTCTGCCATTATTGTAAGCTTCCTGATGCCTCACCAGAAGTAGATGCCAGCAGCATGCTTAATGTACAGCCTCCAAAACCATGAACTAAAATAAAAGCTCCTTTCTTTGTAAATTACCTAGCATCAGGTATTCCTTTATAGCAATGCAAAAATAGCCTAACACAGAAAATTGGTACCAGAAGCGGGATGTTACTATAAAGACAACAAAAGATGTGTAAGTGGCTTTGGAATTGGGTAAGAGGCAGAGGTTGGAAGAGTTTGGAGGGCTCAGAAGAAGACAGAAAGACGAATTAAAATGTGGAACTTTGGTTGTGACCAAAACACTGATAGAAATATGGACAGTGAAGACCAGGCTGACAAGGTCTCAGATGGAAATGAGGAATTTATTGGGCATGTTATGCCCTAGCAAAGAGCTTGGCTACATTGTGTTCACATCCTAGGGATCTGTGGAAGGCTGAACTTAAGAGTGATAACCTAGCATATCTGGTGGAAGAAATGTCTAAGCAACAAAGTGTTTAAGATGTGGCCTAGCTGTTTCTAACAGCCTACAATCAGATACAGTAATAAAGAAATGACTTAAAGTTGAAACATATTTAAAAGGGAAGTAGAGTGTAAAAGTTTGAAAAATTTGCAGCCTGGTCCTGTGGTAACAAAAGAATCCAAGCAGGCTGTGGAGCAACCACTGGCTAGAGAGATTACCATGACTAAGAAGGAGCCAAGTGCTAATATTCAAGATAATGGTAAAAAGGCCTCAAAGGCATTTCAGAAGTCTTCAGGATGGCCTCTACCACCACAGATTCAGATGCCTAGGAGGATAATGGTTTCAGGGATTAGGGCCAGGGCACTGCTTCCCTGCTTAGCCCCAGGACACAGCTCGCCTCATTCTGGCCACTCCAGCTCCAGCCTTGGCTCAAAGGAGCCCAAGTGTAGCTCAGAATGAAGCTCCAGAGGGTGCAAGCCATAAGCCTTGGCTGTTTCCACATGGTATTAAGTCTGCAGGTGCTCAGAATGCACGTGTGAAAGAGGTGCAGCAACTTCCTTCTAGGTTTCAGAGGATGTTTTGGAATGCCTGGGTGTCCAGGCAGAAGCATGCTGCAGGGGCATTCTCCACAGAGAATCCCTACTATGGCAGTTCCCAGAGGGAAACGTGAGGTTAGAGTCCCCGCACAGAGTCCCCACCAGGCCACTGGTTAGTGGACCTGTGGTAAGAGGGTCACCATCCTGCAGACCCCAGAATAATAGAGCCACTTGCAGCTTGCATCCTGAGCCTGGAAAAACTATAGGTCATTAATTCCAACCTGTGAGAGCAGCCACAGAGTTGCCCAAGGACTTGGGAGCCCACCCTTTGTACCAGTGTGCCCTGGATGTGGGACATGGAGTCCAAGTTGATTATTTTGAAACTGTAAGATTCAATGACCGCCCTCCTGGGTTTTGGACTTACTTGGAGCCTGCTGCCACCCGTTCTTTTTTTTTGTGACTGGTTTTTCCCTTTCAAAACAGGTATGTATAATCAACACCTGTACCACTATTGCATTTGGGAAGTAAATAACTTATTTTTTGATTTATTAGGCTCAGAGGTGGAAAGAGCTTGGCCTTGAGTATTAGATAAAACTTTGGACCTTTGATTGAGTTAATGTTGGAATAAGTAAGGCCTTGGGAGACTATTGAAAAGGGATGATTGTATTTTGCAGTGTGAGAAGGGCATGAGATTTGGGGGGCCAGGGTCATAATGACTTGGCTTGGATGCATGTCCCCTCCAAATTTCATGTTGAAATGTGGTTTCCAATGTTGGAGGTGGGATCTGGTGGAAGGTAGCTGGATCATGGGGGTGGATCCCTCATGAGTGGCTTAGCCTCATCCCCTTGGTGATAACTGAGTTCTCCCTCGGTTAGTTCATGCAAGATCTGGTTCTTTAAAAGAGTCTGGGACCTCCCCCTTCTCTCTCTTGCCATGTGACATGCTTGTTCCCCATTGCTTTCTGCCATGAGCGTAAGCTTCCTGAGCTTCAGCAGAAGCAGGTGCTAACACCATGCTTCATGTACAGCCTGCAGAACTATAGGCCAAAATAAAATCTCTTTTCTTTATAAATTACCCAGTCTTTATAGCAATGCCAAAAAAAAAAATGGCCTAACACAGGGACATTGTGGCTAAGGGATGGAAAGAAGCAACATTACACTAAGTACCATGATGTATGATGGTTAGCAGTGCTGTCTACATAGTTTGCCAACTCTCGTTATCATTTACTCAGTTATTCCCAATGGGCTTCCCAGGTAGAGAAGGGGTATAGGGTAAGGATGACCTCCTCCAGCACCCTGGCATCTTTTAAGGAACTGAGGACCAGGGAAGCCACCCCTCCTTCAGGTAGCATACACCAGAAGGCCCAGGTTTGGCTCCTCTTAGAGAGGCCTTGGTAACTATGCCAAGTTTGTAGGGTGCTGTTTCTATTACTTAAAGCACAGTGAGCAGTTGGGTATGGAGAATCACAGATTTAGGATTTGTGAAAGTCTTTATTTTCAAGAGATCCCTGTTTGTAGCCAGGCACTTGTTTTTTTTTTTGTTTTTTTTTTTTTTTTTTTTTTGAGATGGAGTCCCGCCCTGTCGCCAGGCTGGAGTGCAGTGGCACAATCCCAGCTCACCGCAACCTCTGCCTCCCGGGTTCAAGCGATTCTCCTGCCTCAGCCTCCCGAGTAGCTGGGATTACAGGCGTGCGCCACTACGCCCAGCTAATTTTTGTACTTTTAATAGAGACGGGGTTTCATCATGTTGGCCAGGATGGTCTTGATCTCTTGACCTTGTGATCCGCCCGCCTCGGCCTCCCAAAGTGCTGGGATTACAGGCGTGAGCCACCGCACCCGGCCGACACTTGTTGTTTTAATGGTGTATAGCATAAAGCCAAGAGGGGCAATATCTTGCATAAGAAGCCCTGGGGCAACCAATGGCAGTTATCAGTGGTCCCAGGACTCCTGGAAGCAGGTTTTCATTTTTTTCTTTTTCTTTTTTGAGACAGATTTTTGCCCTGTCACCCAGGCTGGAGTGCAGTGGCGCGATCTTGGCTCACTGCAGCCTCTGTCTCCCAAGTTCAAGCAATTCTCCTGCCTTAGCCTCCCAAGTAGCTGGGACTACAGGTGCATGCCACCACACCTGGCTAATTTTTATGCTTTTCATAGAGATCGGGTTTCACCATGTTGGCCAGGCTGGTCTCAAACTCCTGACCTCAAATGATCCCCCTGCCTCAGCCTCCCAAAGTGCTGGGGTTACAGGCAGGAGCCACTGTGCCAGGCCAAAAGGTTTTCAAAGCCTCTACAGTGAAGGAGTTTTTTGAGGGCACTGACAGGAGTGCCTATTGATTTTAATTTAGAAGTAAAATTTGTAAATGAGGAATATGTTGCTGCCAGAACTCAGAAGTACTAAGAAATATTGGACTTAACTGACCTTAATGGTTGTAAACAATGAATCTCCTTGGAAGAGGATATTAATGTAGTGTCATACCTGTGTTCCTGGAGAAAGTAGATGCCATTAAGATCTTGTTTGAGAATATTGTATGTGATGACAAAGCTGTTGGGAAGTATCCCATTGGTAACCCAGAAAGGTGTATTGTGCTTCTTCAGAGGTGGAGGCAAACTGCAGCTGTGAAAGGACGTAGAAATAGGAACTGAATGGAACAGGTTAGCCAAATCTATAAGAGCAAACTATGTACCAGATGTTGATTGGGTTGAATCAACAATGGTAATAATATTAGTTATTGAGTATAGGGGTCCTAATGAATAGGATCACCGTATTAAGGTTGTAGTAGTCTGTAGTACGGCACCTTTTGTATGTCTACATATATATATATATTTTTTCTTTTTTTTCAGATTCGGGAACAGAGAAAGATTGGTTGCTAAATGGAAAAGCAGGAGGGAGAATTATCCCTTTAATAATTAGGTTTTATATACTTAGTTTTAATCTTGAGGAGCCCATTTCAACTTATATTGGGCCATATTAACTATTAACTGGGGGGGTTATGGGGTCCCATTTTATCAATCCAATTTGTAAGTGCCAAAAACTTACTTTAAATTTATTACTTACTGTGTCAGAGAATCTAAGTCCAACATAGAATATTTTATAGCAATGGAGTATATGATTACGGGAAGTGTAGGCATGGCCATAGTTAAATTGAGGAATACTCATTTTTGTATTTTATACAGGCAAAATATAGAAGTAGAATATTTAAATTTAGTGGGACCCCAGATGTAACTATAGTTTGAGTCCTGGTATTAATTAAGCCCATGCATTTTGGTCAATTAGTGCATTTTAGCAAATGTTAAAAGTTAAGTTAGAATCTCTATTGTGGAGACACAAAAGCCAATCAGTGCTGTTTATCGTTTTTATTTATTATTAACAAAAATTCTTTAGTATATGAATTTTGACTTTCCAATGAAATCAAATTATGGAAAATATATATACAATTTATTTATTATATATTTATATTGAAATATTGTGTTTGCATATGTATGTATTAATGTTCTATATATAAAGTTAATTAAATTAATTACCTTTTATTTTCCTCACCTCTTCTTCACCAACACAGTGAAGCTCAGTGTCATATCACACTTTCCAACTATTACTGAGGGGTCATTGCTGCTTTCCTGAAACCTGGTGGCCCCTGTCTATAACCTGTGAAATGGTGGTAGAGCTCCACCATCCTGGCCAGCTCACTCTAGCAAGATACTAGGACTTCACCATTTATAATCAATACAGTACCGACCACTACAGAGATCCCAGGGCATTGGAACAGTATACCTGCCACAAGGAGCAACACACATTCAAATAGTGGCCTGCTGCACAGGGTCCTTTGAGATCCCAAGAAAAGCTAATGATGTCACAAAGGAAAACACACCCTGATTATATTGGGACTTGCTCTCTGACAGCTTCAAAAGAACTTTAAGAGCTCATAGAGCTGTCTACAGCCACCACAATTTCAAGCAAATCCCCAAGGCAACACCTGAGAGCAGAAGTAGGCACCAGTGCGAAATAGCTTGATTGAATACTGGCAAGTAGTAGTGCCATCAGATACCAACTGGACCATCTGATACGGGAAATAAGTCATCCATTCCCAGTGGGCAGACAATGATATTGTATCCAAGCTTTGACTATAATCATACCTTCTACATCAGTTGTTTTGGATAAAACTCTTTGAGTTGATAGCTATTGTTTTCAGCAGCTACCAGATGTCCAGACAGAAGAGCATCACCCAGGGATTCACCTGCATGAGTCTCCTTTCGGTGGCTTCACAGTCAGGGGTCAGATTGCAGGTGTGGCTTCAGTGACACAACCACCACATAATAGTTTAAGAGATTTTAGTACTCACAGACCCTGGAGGGTACATGGCATGTCAGGAAGCCATACCCACATAGAGGGGGTTCTGGTAGAGAGAAAGAGAAGGGACCCATGTGTCAGTGCCTTTATTGGGTCCAGGGCATTATCCAAACAATTTTCCTGTAGGGAAACCACCAGCTGTAACTGGTGGTTTTAAAGCAAGCAGTCATTATTTCCAGGAGGTTACGCTGTGACTGGAAGGTAAACACTTAGAATTCACAGGCAAATGTCTGAATGGTCTATTCAAAATAAGTGAGAGAAAAGCTGGGAGCCCAGCCTACTACATGGGAGAGATGCCTCTAAGTTTTTATCTCTGGTCACTGGCTGGAACCATTTAGGTGAGTATAGTATAGGAAACTGTGCCAAGTGTGACGGGGCCCTATTTCTGGTAATAAAAAGTTAAACTTACATTAAAAAGTGGTTGCTAAGGCAACAGAAAGTTATACGCACTCTACACTCTCCACCCTCCACACACATATTTTATGCTTTTGATGTCAAAATTTACATCATTTTATAATGTATATCTCTTGGCAATTTATCTTACCTACAATTTTTATTAATAGTTTTACACACCATCATTACAGAACTATAGTATTTTGAATATGGCTCTGCTCTACGTATACCATTGAGTTCTGTGATTTACTATGCTTCATGTTATTAATTAGCAGCCTTTTGCTTCAGTTTAAAGAACTCCATTTAACAATTCCTATAAGGCAAGTATAGTGATGATGAACTCTCTAAGCTTGGGTGTTTGTGTAAGAAAATTTTTATTACTGTCTCAATATGGAAAAATAGTTTTACTGGATAAAGTATTTTTGGTTAGCAGTTAGCAGTTTCCCCCACCCCCTTCAAGACTTTGGCTGTATCATTCCATTCTCTCCTGACCTTTAGGATTTCTGCTGAGAAATCCACTGATCCACTGATAGTCATATTGACACTTTTATATTTGATGTATCTCTTACATCTTGCTGCTCCCACAATTTTTATATGTGTTTAATTTTTGATAGTTTGATTATTATGTGTTTTAATATACTCAATTTGAGATGAATTTAATTGGAGCTCTCTCTGCTTCCTGTACCTGGGTGTTGGCATCTATCCTCATATTAGGAAAGTCATTATTTATTTAAATATGGTTTCTGGCCTTTTTTCTCTTTCTTCTCCTCCTTATGCAAAAGTTTGGTCTCTTGATTGTCCCATAATTCCTGTAGGCTTTCTCCATTCTTTTTTATTCTTTTGTCTATTTGCTCTTCTAAATGAATAATTTCAGATGTTCTTTCTTTCAGCTGATTTTTTTCTTCTGCTTGTTTGAATCTGCTATTGAAGTTTTCTGTTAATTTTTTTTCTGTTGTTCAGTCATTGCATTCTTCATCTCTAGAATTTCTATCTGGTTCTTTTTTATTGTCTCTATTTCTTTGTCAGTGTTATTGCTGTTTCCATGAAATGTTTTCTAAATTTCATTAAACTTCCTCTTCATATATTCTTGTAGTTCACTGAACTTATTTATGAGTATTGTTCTGAATTATTTGCAAATCATTTCATAGATCTCCATTTTGTTGCAGTCCTTTATTTATTTATTTATAGATGGAGTCTTGCTCTGTCGCCCAGGCAGGAGTGCAGTGGTGCGATCTCGACTCACTGCAACCTCTGCCTCCCAGATTCAAGCAATTCTCCTGCCTCAGTCTCCCAAGAAGCTAGGATACAGGATCCCACCACCACACCTGGCTAATTTTTGTATTTTTAGTAGAGACAGGGTTTCACCATGTTGGCCAGGCTGGTCTCAATCTCCCAACCTCAAGTGATCCTTCTGCCTCAGCCTCCCAGGTGCTGGGATTACAGTCACGAGCCACCATGCTCGGCCATTACTGAAGCTTTAGTAGTTTCTTTTGAAAGTGTCATGATTACATGATTCTTGGTAATTCTTGCATTCTTGTGCTGTTGTCTGTGCATTTGAGGAGACAGCTTCCCCTCTGGCCGTTTCAGGTGTTCTTTGGCAGGAATAGAACCTCACTATTTAGTCTAGTCTCTGATTCTGGAAGGGCCAGCTGTAACAATCCCAGGCAGGCAGAGCTTGTTTTGAGTTCTTTAGTTGACTAGGATGCTGCCTTCACTCTAACGTTGGATGGGGCTGCTGCTATCCGGTGAGACCACTACCTGGGCTCTGCTATGGGGCAAAGCTATTGGCTGGGTACTACAATGGCTTTTGGTCAGATAAGTTACAAAATATATTCCCTGGACGGGCAATTCAGTTATTTGGGATCTATATTTGAGTGGGTCTGTAGGATGGGCTTCAAGGTTAGGTGTTAGTGCTACTCAGGACAGGTAGGACCAGAGGCTATGCTCCTTACAGATGTGTGACTAAGGATTGCCTCCCTATCTGGGTGGAGCCATGGGCTGGGCTTTTCTACGAGCTGAGTAGCTGACCACTCCCAAGTCAAGCCCATTTAGCTCCTTTGCTTTTCTTAAATCCATGGAGGTGAGAGTCTCCCTGCTTGGGAAAGGTCATTGTGTAGATTTTTTTTTTGGTTAAATGGAGCTCTGTTTAACTTCCTAGGCCAAGCAGAACTAGTCTCTGTGTTTCTCTAAATGAAAATGGGAGTCTTCCTGCCTGGGTAAGGTCATTCAGTGAAATTGCTGCTGAGTGGAGTTGATGCTTGACTTCCAAGTTCAAGCCAGTCTAGCCCCTTCACTTCTCTGAAATCCACTGAGGCCAAAGTCTTTTTGCCTATGCAGGGTAGCTGGGTGGTTTTTATGGCTAGATGGAGCTGCTGCTTGACTTTCTGGATCAAGACAGTCTAATCTCTTTGCTTCTCTAAAATGGGAGGAGGCAAGCATCTCCCTGACTGGGTGGGACCACTGGAGTAGGCTCTGAGGCAGGCAAGGAGAATAACAGTCTAGAAACTCAAACTACCTTGAACTTCCCACCATGCTTCTCAAGGCAACCAGCTCAGCTTTGTGGATGCGCTATAAGGTTGACTGATGTCTCTGATCAGGCTCCATAGCTGGCAACAGCACAGAGGCATTACTAAGATCCATGTGCTGGTAACTATGACTTATGCCTCCTTTCTTTATTTCTACCTGACACCAGGCATTCTAGCCATGTCATTTTCCCCAGTGTTCCCTGTGAGACTAGAGTGGGCTTGTAGGAAACAACTCAGAATGCTAGGAAAGCTGGATGACTACCTCTAGTTCTCTTTTCCCCCTGTAAAAACTGTGAGCCCAGGGAAATCCTCTCCCTCTGGCATCGTGCTAACTTGGGGAAGGAAAAGGGGCAGCACAGTCAGAGTGAGACCATTCTTCTTATCCTTCTAATTCAGATTTCATTCAGTTCTATGGACCACATAGGTGTCAAAGGCTTGTTTCTAAGTGTTGGGGTTTTCAAAAGGACGTTCTAATCTGTGAATAGTTGTTTGCTGAACTTTCTGTGATGGGGGATTGAAGCCCGAGACTTTCACCATCTTGCTGACGTCTCCTGCCTTTTGCTTATTTTTATCTCTTACTTTCTACTCTAAATGGTAAAGTAAATAAAACTCTTACCTGTCCACCTTCCTCACTTTTATAATTCTATCATAAAGTATAAAGGTGAGAAATCTTGGCTTTCAAAATGCCTTCTAATATTTACAGAGCTGGAAGATTGTAAAAAATTCAGAGTGGCCATATTCATTAAGAACTTTGCTCTCCAAGGCTACAGGAATGCATCAAGAAAATAAACCATAAATATGATACATTGTTGATCATTCAGCACTCAAAAGACTCTCTTTGAGGACTATACTTTAAAAATATACAGTTTTTCTACTAAAATAAAATAAAAACTTAGAATTTGAAGCTGATGAACAGCAAAATCAATGTCAATGTAATGAAATTTTGTCATATTATTTCTTTTCTGGTTCCATAGCTTTAATACTCTTATTTATATATATCATATATTAATATATAACATATATGTTAACATATATAACATGTTATATATAACAACATGTTATATATAACATATATATGCTATATATGTTATATATAACATGTTATATATAACAACATATATATGTTATATATAACATGTTATATATAACAACATATATATGTTATATATAACATGTTATAATAACATATATATGTTATATATATAACAACATGTTATATAAACATATATATGTTATATATAACAACATATGTTATATAAACAACATATGTTGTATATATAACATATATTGATTTTAATTGTATATTTTGTGTATTGTCATTTCCAATGAGGATGTTCCAAAAATTAATATTTTAACTAAAAACAAGTATTGAAAGGCTTGTACTAAATGTGAAGTTTTACAAACACAAACTCCATTTTCTTTTGTATAATATGTGTAAACAAACTATGATGCTTTTTATGAACTGGTTATTTAAATATGTGGAAGTGAGCAAATGTTATTGCTGATTCAAAAGAAGGCAAAGGCACTTGCTGTGTGAGCAGAAAATGTTAAAGCTATTTGTGAAGGAAAGAGTATGTCACCTAAATTAATGTGGTAGACTCGCCTCATAAGTCATCTCCACCACTCAGCTCTACCACACTGCTGGAAAGAGTAGGGGTCAATATTCTACTCATTTAGAACACACAGGGCCTATTTATCCACTGTGGGACTCATATTTCTTCATGTAGTCAGGACACAATAAGACTCAGGTTAAAAACTTCTTTAAGAAATCAATTATTCAAGATACTATATCAGCCATTAAACTTAAACAAATATTTCAAAATCCTGCTTGCTGTCGTCAGTTAGGGAATGCCATGACTAGACTACATATACATCTACAGACTCAAGTTTCAGCACTGTCACATAGGCTCCTCACTCCCACTCAATAAATTGTTTCCTTCCTCATGTGTTTATTGAATCCTGCTTTCTTTTCTTTTATTTTTTTCCAAAATCCTTTTAAAAGGTACATGACATTTCTCTGCTCAATTAGACTTAATAACTAAATTTTTTTACTCAGAAGGGATGCCATATTAAGCATGGTGGCCATGCTCACAAAAAAAAAAAAAAAAATGAGGGCAGTAAGTGAAGAATATCAGACGTAAGGAGGCACTGACAGTGTCTAAAGCAAACTTCGAGTGGTCAACATTTTGTTTCTGATTCTCTTTTTGTGGAAGGTAATAAAGTACTACATGTACTTATGGTAATGTTTAAAGAGCTATTTCTGAAGATTTAGATTAATGATTGCTACTTATAGAAATTATGATTGGTCATAACAGTTAAATGAATATTGAACAAATGGACTTTTCCTATCCTTGTGGGCCAGTTTCCAACAGTATACATATTCTTGGTACTGTTTTGTTCCCATAGTTGCACAGAGTTATACTTTGGTTTTGTTGTTCAGGAAATAAGCTCATTCAGTGTACCCATATGGTGCCCTAGATTCTATTGAAAAGTCAACGAATTATGTTGGTGAATGACAGTGGACCACTTGATGCCCTCATTTTCTTTTCTATTATTTGGTTTGAGTTCGTTTTGATTGCTGAATATTAAGTATCTGTATCTGCTTAGAATGGATGAGAATTATAGGAGCTGAGAATATGGTGGAAAAAGGCAAGAAGCTGACTCAAACCTCGCAGCTGGCATGACGAGATTTGACCACCTGGGTTGCCCATTTTCTAATGCTCCACAGAGATCTATGTACATTCGACCTTTTCTGCCAGTCTTTGTTTCAAATCAAACTACTTCTTTAACAACTTTCTTTCAGATTAACTTTTTTAAATACTCATTGAGTACCAATTATCTATGAAGCACTGATAGGTTTTTTTAATAAAAAATATTAAAAGAATGTAATTCATGTTTTCAAGGAGTTCAGGATCCTTGGGAAAATCACCATTAAATCAATACACTTAAATAAAAACTACTGTAACTGGTGGCATGTTATATGTGGAAAAGATAAACGTGTCTAAGGAGGTTTGGGACAGAAGGGTTAAATAGCAAGAAAAACAAGTAATACTTTCTAAAAGAAGTGACATGGGAGGGGAGCCTTAAAAATTGTGATTGTACCCTCTTCTTAGTATGTATCTAAAGGAATAGATATTGGTATGCAAAAGAGATACCTGCACTCCCATGTTCATTATTCAAAATAGCCAAGGTATAGAAGCAACCCAAGAGTCCATCAACAGATTAATGGATAAAGAAAAATGTGATATATATATACACACAGACAAAATAAAAGGAAATTCTGTCATTTACAACAATACAGATGAAATTGGAGAGCATTCTGCTAAGTAAAATAAGCCAGGTACATAACATCAGATACTATACCATCTCACCTACCTTGGAGTGTAAGAAAGTCAACCTTCGAGAAACAAGGTAAAAAGGTGGTTACCATAGGTAGAGAAGGGATAGGTACAGGAGAGATGTTAATCAGCAAGTACAAAATTTTAGTTAGACTGGAGGAATAAGTTTTAGTGATCTATTACACTCTGTGGTGACCACAGTTAATAAAAATGTGTTGTATATTTCAAAATTGCTAGAAGAGTAGATTTTTCATCTTTTCACCACAAACAAAAAACAGTCGATGAAGAGATGGACATGTTAATCAACTTGACTTAATCTTCCTTAATGTTTATATACATCAAAGTATCACATTGTATCTTTCAAATATACATAATTGCCATTTGTCAATTAAAATATAATTTCAAAAATTGTGATTGCAAAATATAATGTGAATTTGACAGGTGAGATCTAGCAATCACTGCCTTTGTCTCACCAACTAAAGGTACAATAATAAGGGTCAGAGTTTATCCTTCCATCCCATGCACTTTCAGTTGATATATGTTTCCATTCCATGCATTGCTAGCAGATTGGTTAGAATTTTTGTTGCCATGAATCCATCATCCCTGCTCTTCTTTCATTTCTTTGTGACAAAAGACTCAATTTCTATAAACATATTTTCACAGATGTCTCTTTTTCTATCATGTTGTCATATTTTAGTCCCTTCCTTGACAATTTGTAAGTTCTCTAAATTCAGCGAAATGGTGCTCTCCAAAGCAAAACAACAAAGATATCAGACCTGGAGCAAATCAAAGTTGGTTTCTCTTTTCTTCTGTGATATAACATTAAAAAAAAAATCTAGCGGGGTGCGGTGGCTCATGCCTGTAATTCCAGCACTTTGGGAGGCCGAGGTGGGCAGAGCAGAAGGTCAGGATTTCGAGACCAGCCTGGCCAATATGGTGAAACCCTGTGTCTACTAAAAATACAAAAATTAGCCAGGCATAGTGGCGTGTGCCTGTAGTCTCAGCTACTTGGGAGGTTGAGGTGGAAGAATCGCTTGAACCCGGGATGCTGAGGTTACAGTCAGCTGAGATCATGCCACTGCACTCCAGCCTGGTTGACAAAGCGAGATTCTGTCTCAAAGAAACAAAACAAAACAAAAACAAAACTATGAGACAAATCAACAAAAGGAGACCTCACAAAACCACCTAAAATGACTTGAAGAGTAGGCCCTGTTTCTTCAGATTGTTGAGGGAATACTATCATAGAAGAGAAAGCAGGAACTCTGAATACTGGGCATCTCTCCCACTATTTGTCCCTTGTGTTTTCTTGTTCTATAATGCGGCCAAACCTTTGGCATCACCTGTATTCAAGTTACATTCATGCACTTGCCAATGTCCTCCCTTCAGGTAGAACAAAGGAGGCTAATTTAGTTGTCATGTGGAAACAAGGATGTGTAGAAGTGGAGGTACAGAATAGACAAGGAAGCATGAGTGTTTATGGAGAGCTTTCAGCAACAGGAAGCAGAAGGAATCAAGGAGAGCACAAATGTGACAATCTGGAAGAGAATTGCCTCTGTATGTTCAGCAAACATTCATCACCCTCTCCTTCTCAGCTCGCTCATTCTTCAATAACCACACCCTAGAAATTGACACTGTATCACTTTCATTAGTTATACTTTCATTTGTCTAATTGTTCTCAACCCTCTCTTGGCATAAGAAACAGGATTGTAGAATGACTAGTATCCACAGGAAAAGTAGATTCCATCTTCAGTAGCTTATGGAAAGGCTGATAATAATTTATTCTTATTGATCTCTTCCAGAAAGTCATAGAAGGAACAGCCCACCACCTAGAAGAAGAAAGAGAGGCAATTTTTCTGTGATTTTAAATGTATAAAAAGAAAAAATATTAATTGCAGCATTAACTGTAAGCTGCACAGACAATAAATTGAAGATTGATTAAGCTCCCAAGTGTTGCTGTGATTATTAACCAATAGCATCAGCAACTTACTACTCTACTTTACATGTCATAAACAGAGTAATAGTGAAAGATCAACAGGCACAACTACATGTGGTTATGATTTGTTCGTGTAATCTTAGAAGTCTCATGAAAATGGAAGACAAAGCAGGTATTAGATAGTACAGAAATCTAGGTATTCCCATTTTAATTGTTCCTGTACCAGCAGAGTTTAATTTCAGATTGTAACATTTTAGGATAGAGTTTGGTTCATTGTGTGTTCCAGTTTTAAAAGACAGAATTTTCTTATGTGGAAACCTGCCTGCAATTGCTGTAATTTTTTTCTATCTTTTATTGTAACTTTGAAAAAAAAAACACTTAATTTCACCACTTTTCACACCCTTTATTTTTCTGTCTACTAGAATAAATTTGAGCTGAATATTTAATCTACCCACTTTACCAAGCATTTTCAATCATCAAAAAGCTGATGTGAAGGTAACTGAATGTGATACGGAAAAACAGAATGAATCAGTAGAATTACCTAAAATTTATGTCATTCTAAAGCAGAGAGGTCAGTTCCTATCTTTTTTACACTTCTTCATATTGCCTAATTCAGTACATGGAATATAACAGGTTCTCAGAATTTCATGGTAAAATTGGATAAATATGAATATTCTTGTGTTATACAGAAACAGTAAATTATATTTGTCACCCAGTTCTTACAACATAGTCTCTAGGGAAGCAAGAGGCCATCCAGCCTTTCAGAATTAAGGCTTGAAAAGTAGATTTGCTAAGGTAAGTGTCAATAAGGCCAGTTACAGGATCAAAGTGTTTTAGAGTATGAGACCTGGCCAGCAGTTTAAGTGAAATTGTCTCTTCAAAGGGGAACAAAGCATAGTAGAAAAAACACTACAGTGGGAGTTGACTAACAAGAATTCTGTCTTATGTCACACAGTGTCACGTAATTGTTTGTACACTGGATAAATCTCTTAAGCTTGCTAGATCTCAATTTACTCATCTGTAAAGTAAAGCAAGTTGAACCTAGAAATCTTCTATGTATGTCAAGGTGAATTTCCTTTTTACTAGCCTATTGCCTTTTATTTTGTAAACCAACATATATGAGAAATATAACAAAAGTCTTTAAAATGAACCTTTAATAATTATTTAATAATAATAATTGAAATAAAATCATGGCAGAAATGGGTCATCATATTTGGCTCCTTGACTAGGGCCTTGTCTTTCTTCATTATTCTTTTTTCTCTGCTTTGATGCTGTTAGAATGTGTGTGTATGTGCACGCCTGTGTGTGGTCCCACTTCGGCTGACAGGTGTGCTTAGCTTCTTGGATTTCTTCACAAGATCCAGTGTGTTTGCTTGCACCAGTGCTTTCATTAGTTCTTAGTGATGATTTCTTCTAATCTTCCAACGTCTTCCTTCTAGAGCTTGATTTCCCCAGTAAGCTCCTACATGTATCTGTAGTGTAATTTCTTTCATAAATTCTGAAAAATCCCTTACTCCATGGCTCTGTTCTCTTTGCTGAAAACTGGAGGATACAATGGCAGTAGGTAACATGTTAACCAGCAATTACAGTCTTTAACTTTTTTTGCATTATCTTTAGTCTCTAACTTCAATCTCTTTATTGCTATTTGACTTTGAACTTCCTTGATATACTGAATAAATGCAGAATAAATGCAGGATGACTGCAGATCCATATACCTATTCTTTACCAGGCAGAACACAGAGTCTTGACAACTGCTTCCTGCTGAAAACAGTTCTTTGTCCATTCTACAAATAAGAAAATAGAATTAGGGGAGAAATAGAAATGTTTCTGGGCTGATCTCATTCTAAGACCATTTCCAAAACTGTCCCTAAGGAGAGGAAAGAGGCAGAAAAAAAAATGGCTATGAGGTGCAACTCCAGCAATTGTCCTTGAGATCTCTACACATTTTTACATTGATCCTTTCTTTTCTAAGGAAAATTAAGATGAAATGCAGAAAAGAATTAAAAAAAAACTAAAAAGTAGGCATGAAGGGAATATTTTGCTACTGAAAATCAGTACAAATATATGTAAAACACATTTAAGAATAAAACTAAATCTGTATTTTGATTTTTGATTGAAAATAGATTTCAAATTGTTGAATGACACAAAGACATAATCACTGGTAACTATGAGGGACGATCTGACTGTTAACTGCTTTGAAAGGCACTCTTTGACCCCTGTGTCCTACTGGTTTTTTTAGCCCATTTCTAAATGGCAATGCCCTATCAAATGCTCAGATGCAAAATCTAGAGTTCAAATAATTGTCAGCACTCATCTGGACTCTTTTTTATTCCATCTTACATTTCTAAATCACATTTATTTCATAACGTTAAACTCAAGCCAGATGAAATCCCTTGACAAAGGAATCGAACAAGTCCAAATTGATCTCTTAAGTAGATCAATAGAAACTTAACTGAAATGGATTGGGGATTTTATCAGACTTGACGTAGTAGTACACTAATAAGATCACTTCCAATTCACACATATAGAACTAAATTTTCAGCACAAATTGATCTGATTACTAAGGATGAATGGTCATCTTTAATAATGGATTAAGGCGGTAAAGATTTCTTTTTTTAATACAAAAATGCTTTTTTTAAAAAACTCTTGGAGATTGCTTTAACTTTTATTTTTATACCGAATTGTATTTGCTTCTTACATGGTTTGACTTACAGGTTTGACTTTAGAAACGTTTTAATTTTTGTAATTTTATCTTCTTTTTTAAGTCAGAAATATCTTCTGAAGTGTTTTCAAAAGAACAGTTTGTTAATAGCCAGAAAAGCCATTATAATACAATGTACTGCTCCAATAAACCGTAACATCTCTAAAAGCTGTTTGTAAAATAATGCAAATAATAGTTAGTAAACCTGTCAATGTGACAGAGAATTGCCTGTTTGAAATGTTTGCTTTGTCCATTCTGTGACTATTAACTTGATAATTTAGATACATGATACTTAGGAGATCTGTCACGTTAGAATTTACTAAAATTCCTCATAAAATTTATGCATAAAAGTTTGCTGATAAATCTTCCACTGGATTGGCTTAAAAACTTAACACAGTGATGAATAAAGACTGAAGATTATATTTCTCTAAGAAACAAAAGCCCTTATCTACCTTCCAATCCACTTGAACTATTAGAAGACTCGTTTATCCTAACATCCATCTCTTCATT
This sequence comes from Homo sapiens, assembly GCF_000001405.40. NCBI lineage: Eukaryota > Metazoa > Chordata > Mammalia > Primates > Hominidae > Homo > Homo sapiens. Next base: position 138,142,642 of record NC_000004.12, read on the forward strand.
TCAACATGGAGTGACTAGCTTCTGCATTTCTCTCCAGTGTTGGCTATAGAATGCTCAGAACAAGTTTCACTTTTCTACAACTAAGAGATTGTTTCAATAAAATGTTTTGATCCTAGGATATCTTATTAACATTTTGCTAGTGAATGCATACTTTTTCTGGACCTTTCCTTCCTAAGATCATGCAATCTCTCTCTGTGTGTGTCTCTCTCTCTCTTTCTCTATCCTGTATCTCCTTCTTGAAGTCCTTTACTCTGCTGAGTCAATCTCTCTTCATTTTCCTTCCGTTAGATAAACAGACCCAAAAGCAAATATCTTCTCTATGCCTAAGAAAATGTTCAAAATAAGCAGCCAAGGCTTGGAGAAAGGGCGTCTTGTTTTGCACTCTCCTTTCCTAACTGGTTGGTGTACTCTGAATTAGAAATCCTCAAACATATTCATACTTCAGTAAGGGAATAACAACATAGGACACATAGGCAGACTTCTTTGCTTCCAGTTTCTTAGGTGTGCTGAGTCCAGATTTCTGGACTCCATCTAAAATGGTCTCCATCTTTATGTTTCAGGATAACTCATAAGAGTTATGCATTGGAGTATTCCTAAAGACCTAGAAATTCCTGTAGTATCTTTTCCCTTGTGTTACCTTTTCTGTTCATTTTTACCAAGAACTACAAAAATAGCTGATTTGTCTGGTGTAGATTTTGGATATTTATGGATCACTAGGACCATACCATTTTGGATATTTGTGGATCACTAGGACCATACCACCATAAGGTCGAACTAACATCTTTCAACATGAGAACTATGCTAAATATATAAGTAAACAAGGTATTATATAGACACTCAAAGGACTTGGAATTATCCCTGTCTTCCCTGATGTCATTCTCCCATAGTTTTTCTCTTTACTCTTTACTTTTTCTTACGTTGTTTTCCAAAATAATTTTATTCTATTATTATTACTATAAAAGTAATAATGTTGTTATTGTGAAATAAATATTTGAAAGATCTGAAAAACTACAAGAATAAAATTTAAAAACTCATATATAATCTCATAAGCCAAAAACAATCATTATTTATGTTTTAGAAAGAACCTAGTGTATATTCAAGTCCAAAAGTTCTGGAACTAAATAGTTAAATAGGAAATCTCTTTCTACTTCTAGACCAAAGGCCAAATAGTAGTCACATGTTCTGTCTATTCAAACCAAGATAAGGCCACCTTTTCCAAAAGGAGCAGACAAAAGATTCAAGAGATTTAACAGAATAGTTATCTCCGATTTTTATTAAGCTATAACTGGTCTTATCCTCGTTTCACTCACCCATCCTACCTGGCTATGTGGGAGGGAATCCAAAAGGGAGAGAGAAAGTAAATACAAATGGCCTTAGCATCTCTAAGAAAGAGCATGATCCAGGCCACCAATAGTACCAGACCACTCTAGCTCAGCACAGAGAAAGTCCTGCCCATTTACAAGTGGATGACAATGCGTTTTTGCCTTTGAACAATATACATCTCCTACAGTCTCATTTAAGTGAAATATTTCCATCACTCCTTGAGTAACGATTCAAGAGGTTGTGTGAGGAGACAGAATTTCAACTCTCTTAAGGGGCTAACACCATGATATATAAGAAATGACATGAGTATAGATGGTTCAAATGGAGTAGTGGTGGAAATTACTTAATCTGAGATAGCTGAGGGAATGAGAGATGAGTGTTGTTATTTACTGTAAGGTTAAATATTATTATTTCCCTTCTTGTAATGTCCCTCTGAGAGTGATGTTTCCACATCCTCACGCTGTTGAACTTGGGAGTAGGTATGCTACTTGTTTGGGCCCATGATATGTTCATGAAGTGATGTGAGTTGATGAGAGGCAAAAGTTTTAAGAGCCTATGTGTGGTCTTTCATGTCTCTTTTCTCTCTTCAGTGACACAATTCCAGAGAGAGAAGGCTCCATTACCCTGAGTTCTACAGGGAAAGCAACAAGGAGTAGAGCCAGAGCTAATAAGTGAGGACATTAGCATGAGAGAAATAAATAGTTATCATTATAAATCAATAGAATTTTTGAGTCATTTATTGTTGTAGTATGACATAGCCTATTCTGATGGATATAAGCCAGATGCCAAAGCTTTCACAAATTGATGGAGGACATAGCAGATGACACCAGCAAGTAGTGGCAAGCATACTACAGTTATAAGGACTGAGCCACAAAAGAGATTTGTTTTTATGAAAGGGTGAAAGGTAAAACTTCTTAAAGCTGCATAAATTCAGATTTTTTTTACTATATGTATGATTTTGATTTATACATTCTTTATTTTTACTTAACATAATACTGTGAGCATTTTTCATGTTTTAAACATTTTTGGAAAGTATCATTTTTAGTGTCTATATGCTATCCCGTTTATTTACTTATCGTATCATTGGCAGTTAGCTTGTCTCCTATTTGTCATTGTCAATGAAACTGTAAAAATTATCTTCATTCTAATATTCAAATTTTGAGTATAAAATTTTACAACCTTAGTTGGCTATTCATGTTTTTAAAATCTTTTCTGTATTCTCCTTTGTATTACTATATAGCTCCTTTTATGCACATATCATGTTTATTATTTCCCCTTAATATCCCTTGATATTTCCTCCAGTAAATTACACAAAGCTAATACATAATAATTATAACTAGTCAACAAACCAAAGTGTGCTATGAACAAACTTTAACTCTTATAAAGAAAACTGAAAGAATTGTGGAATGATTTCTGGACTGTACTTGCAGCACAGGTGATCTAACTGTATCAGCCTTACTTTGTATTTAGAGGAGGGCTAATTCTAGCATGCGAACTGAGTTTTATGGTGCATTTGATATAGATGGCTAGGCTCTCATCAGAGTTTAGAAGACAATTTAAGGAAAGGGGCAAAAGTCAATATTTTAATATATCCAGATTCCTATTTTCTTCCTTATTGAAGAAGTAAAAGCTATCAAATACAATAGGATTTTGTAAAATCAAAATTGTAACTGATTTAGTTATAAAACAGGACATTACTGGGAATAAAAGAAAAACTAAAGTTTTTCTAATTAGTCATCCATAGATGATACACAATCTAGATAATTCTGAAAGGAGGTGAAGAGAGAGAACTCAGCTTCACTCAAATTATCTTGTATGCAATACAATTAGAAAATTTATCAAATATAATGGATGTACAGGATATAATGGGGGGAGTTAAAACTGATAACCAAATCTCTTACTTGAGCCATAAGTAAAATGGTAATGCCAATCCCTCAGACAGAGAAAACCAAGTTAGGTACTGAGTCAAGAGGAAAGCCTCTTGTAGACATGGACATGTGAAAAAAATGTGAGGCCAGAGTATTTAGAGTGTTTAATATGTGTTTCTCCATTTGCTAATGTGGTGGTAACTTGCTACACTTAATAGCCTGGTTGGTGCAGTATCTAATCCTACTCATTAGCTAGTTATATCCTGTGACATAAACTTACAGAAGAAGAGAAAAGCAGTGGAGAAGTAGGAAAATGTTTATCAAGGCAGTAAAGTAGTGAAAATAAATGCTTACACAATAACATGCTTTAACTCATTTGGAGTAAGTGCTGGCTATTAAATATAGTCAAAACAGATACCATGCTGTGAATTACAGGGTCTTAAACATCTCCTTCACTGATATTTGACTTGTTAGATTGTAATGGTGGGTGGAGAGAGGAGTATCACAATAAATAATAGAAGACAAATTCTAGGCCTGTCAGCAATGATTTCTTATGTGTTATTTTCACTTAAACACTGAAGGAAATGACAAAGGCATAAATAGAATGAAAGCCAACTTAATGAAGTCTTTTTTATACAGTTCAGCAACACTGAATCTAAACCAGACAAGAAAATTTCAGCACTTAAGTCAGACCCCAGTACTCATTTGCCAGGATCAAAACTGAGATGCGCTTCTGGAATTGTCGTAGAGTGAGTTAAAAAGGTTAATGTGTTCATGTCATCTAATTTTTGCATTTTTTCAACTTGGTGGTGCCTGCAAAATCTGTGTAGAATTATAAGGTTTACTCTGTAGTTGAAGATGTGCTGTAGATTAGTGACTAGTCACTGCAGAGTATTGAGCACAGCAATAAATCTAAAATTAAAAAAAAAAACTATGAACCTTCAAAGGTTAAGAGGCCTCCAGTACAAGCTAGTCTACCTTTTAGCTTCTAAAGATACTTATATCTGAACTGCAATTGACCAAAATTTACATTGTCATTGCAAAATCAAAACAAGTCAAAGATTGTGCTGTGTTAATCTTCCACACACTGATAGCTGTCTGTGAACAAAAGTTGCTTCAAGAAAGCCAATTGGTATTGGATTAATCCATTCATTTAACCATTTTATTGATGATCTATTTCATGTCAGACACCACGTCATGTACTACTATAATCCAAATATGGAGTGCATCTTCCTTCCCTCTCTGTCTTAAGGACCTAGGTATATGGCTTGAATCATAAATTCTAAAATAGTAGAAAAGCCAAAGCCTTCTTGTATAGCCTTACTTTTTCTTGGTGCCATCTACTTCCAGACCTATTCATAAAGAAAGTTTAGTTCCTTTAATAGTAACACACATACACACACACACACACGCACACACACACACACACACACACACACATATACATACACACATACTCCTGCCTATTCTCAAGTTCAGTAATGCCATTAAAAATGTAGTACTCACAAATATAGAATCATATGGCAAAATGCATAGCCTTCTCCCATTTCTCCAGGTCTCTGCTGATACCTCTTTCCTCTTCTCCAATCTCTGTCATGTCTCAAAGCCAAAATAAATGTTTTCCTACTTTTATACCAAATTATTTCCTACTTTTAGACATCTGTGTAATATTTCATTGGAATGTTCTAACTCAAAACTAAGTCCTCTTTCTGGTTCATGGTACCCAATAATATCTCCAGTTGCTAGAAAAGGATTGTTCAACAGAATTTTCTGTAATAACGGAAGCATTCTATATTCATATTGTCCATAGACTAGCCACTGATCATTTGTGGCTGTTGAGCATTTGAAATGTGGCTAGTGTAACTGAGGACTGACTTTTCAACTTTCTGAAATTTTAATTAATTTAAATTTAAAGAGCTACATGTGGCTAGTGGTTACTATTTAGGACAACACCACTTCATACAAAGTAATTTCTACTAGACCTTCAAGTACTTGCTTAATAATCAGAGCTTATTTGCAACCATGTCACCAAGCATATCTTCGTAGGCCTCATTTTCTTCATATTAAATATTTCAGTCTTTTAACAAAAGCCACAAAGAACTGAATTATCAAACCAAACTCATGTGAATCAGAGATTTTACCCAGTATCAGGCTTTCCTAATAATTTTGAGTTTAAAGTAATCCATGGCACAGGCAAAGCAAAGAGAAGTCCAGATCCCCTAGTTTAGCTGTCCTGATGTCTTCTCACCAGATCAGAATACTTCCTGGCCCTGATTAACTTAGGTAATCTCTAATAACATATGCAACAACACTACTTACATAGAAGACATATCTTTTATCATGCATTATCTCCATTTTATACTGAAATAGCTTTCATAAATTTCCTAGAAAGTCTTGGCCACACATCCATAGATTTCATTCCTAACAATTGACAGTTTGCCATAAGCAATCATTGACAGACCAGGTGCATCTGCTCAAAGCATTCCCTGAATAAAGGCTTTCCCATTACTAAATAGAGTTAGTATGTTTCTCCATAGATCTGTAATTTGAATGTGTATAAGAAGACTCAACTTGGTGGCTTTTGTTCTTTCTTGGGGGCATTTTCTAGGCAAAGAAAGAAAATAGATTATACTGCTGCTTAACCATTTTTTTTCCTACTCAAGAAAGTGTGTGTTCATTTATGCTAAGTTATACATCTAATAGTTAGGCAGCTGTGGTGAGAATGTATTCCTGGTTAAGTGTCATTCAAAATGCAACTCCATGTTTGTGCTAAGGTCATCAATTCCAGAGAAATACTAAAAATAAAATATTAATATTGAATGCAGGTTACGTACACTATGCGCATCTATATTTTTGATGTTGCAGAACAAGGCCTCTGGTGGCCTTACAACCCAGCTCTTCCTCCCTTTCTCACTTTAGAATAACTATAGAATGTGCTGGGAATATAACATCTTGGAATAAGGAGGAATTGACTAGAATAGCTTGGACTCTGTTCTCACCCTCCTAGAACAGGATGGATGCTTGCAATGCTTTAGCTCAGCTAGTCAAGTTACCCCTGGGTATAAAACCCAGGGTAGAGTGCTTTACAGGGTCCCTCAGCTGTGGTGTGACATAGGGCCCATGCATATGAGGCTCCATCCACCCTGGGCAGTGTTCCTGAGCCTTAGGAGACTGGCTTACCATGGATTTTAGGCTTCTATTGTCCCTTGCTGCCCATCTCTGAGTAATAAAATTGCTTCACTTGTGTGTTTCACTGGAATCATGTGGATTGATACCAGTGCATGTTATTAACAAAGTGTTTAGAGCCCTCCCCTACGATTGATGCCAGTACACAGCGAACCTGCTTCATAGGTGTCCAGTATGGTAGCCAGTAGCCACATGTGTCTATTAAGCACCCGAAATGTGGCTAATCCAAAATAAGATGTGCTGTAAGTATAAAATGTACACCAGTACAACAAAAGAAATGTAAAATATTTTGTTAATAATTTCTATGTTGATTACTAAGAAAACAATATTTTGGATATATTGTGTTAAATAAAATAACTATCAAAATAATTTTACCTATTTATTTTTACTTCTTTTTTTTTGAGACCAAGTTTCACTCTTGTTACCCAGGCTAGAGTGCAATAGCACGATCTCTGCTCACTGCAACCTCTGCCTCCTGGGTTCAAGTGATTCTCCAGCCTCAGCCTCCCTAGTAGCTAGGATTATAGGCATGCCACCACCACTCCTGGCTCTTTTTTTTTTTTTTTTTTTTTGGTAGAGCTGGGGTTTCACCATGTTGGCCAGGAGCTCTTGAACTCCTGACCTCAGGTGATCTGCCTGCCTCAGCCTCCCAAAGTGCTGGGATTACAGGTGTGAGCCACTGCGCCTGGCCTACTTTACTTTTTAAATGTGACATGTAGAAGTTGAAGTGCTTGTGGAAGCTCAAGCCAACAGGATATATCTAGCAGGTATGCTGCTATTGGAACCTGAAGTCCACATGAGAATGCTGTTGGCAGTTTAAATTTGGATGAACGTAGCCTTTAGGGAGCAGAGTTGAAACCACATTGGATAAAAACACACAAGGAAGATTGAGAGGGAGGAGAGCAACAGGAAACCAGCATTTTAGAGATATTTGGAAGTTGAGAAGCCTTCTACATTTACTGAAGAGGACTTATCAGAAATGAAAAATTGGGAGAGTTAGAGGAGTGTCTCAAGGGCCAGGAAAACAAAACAATGTTTTTTACACTATGCTCCCCAAAGTCCCACTGGGGGTTACTACATTTTGTAACAGCAGAGAGGAGTGAATAGGTGAATAGATGTGGCTCCACATCTCTCACCAAAATCAGAGTAAGGGTGCTTTTATTGATCAGTTTCCACTTTTCCATAGAATTTTATTTAAATAAGCGGTTTTGTGATAAAATTACATTTAAATTTTGAGTAGAAAATTGGATGTAGAGTGAATAATGAATGTCACCTGGTCACTTGGCAGGAGCATACTGTGAATGTAGCCAAGAAGCTGCAGCTACTAGGCTGGGCACGGTGGCTCACGCCTGTAATCTCAGCACTTTGGGAGGCCAAGGCAAGCAGATTGCTTGAGGTCAGGAGTTCGGGACCAGCCTGGCCAAAATGGTGAAACCCCATCTCTACAAAAAATATTAAAAATTAGCCTGGTATGATGGCATGCACCTGTAATCCCAGCTATTCAGGAGGCTGAGGCAGGATAATCGCTTGAACCTGGGAGGCGGAGGTTGCAGTGAGCCAAGATTGCGCCACTGTGCTCCAGCTTGGGCGACAAAGTGAGACTCTGTCTCAAAAAAAAAAAAAAAAAAAAAAAGAGATTCAGCTACTAATTATGTTCATCAATTCACATAATTAATGATATGCATTTTTGTTCTCTGTGGTCCCATGGCCTCTATACATTGCTATATGGTGGTGCTTTGCATATCTATCTTCATTTTTATTTACCTTCCCTGTATCCCCCCTAGACTGTGAATACACAAAAAATCTCTCCAGTGACTTTCATCTTTGTATTGCAAGTGTAAAAAGATGAAGAAAACTTTATTCACTAGACCTGATCTTAAGGAGAAAACTGCCTGATTTCAGGAAGAGAGACAAATCTCAAAAGCATGCTCAAACAGAATAAGACGCTTACTGAACTACTTAGCAGGAGAAAAAGAGATAGTTTGCTTTGTTTCTCAGAAGAAAGAAGAAAAGGAAGAATGAATAAAGAATTAAGGGAGAAAATGGGTAGTGAAAGAGAAGGCAGGGCTTATGATGTGATTCTGTGACTCATACATTGTCAATAATGTTTCTACACATACAAATCCTTTTCTTTAAATAACTGATAAAGCTTCTAAATTTTATATTGTGCTAATGTAGAGCAAAACACAGACAATGTGTATAGGGCAGGTATTTGGAGGAAGTCCCATGAAAATGGACTATCTGGGAATTTGAAGAGATCATGAAGAGGCTTTGAACTTTCATAGGCCAAAGGTATTTGGAATAGGACTTTTTAGACTACCACTGGCTAGTAAAAAACTAATGTGAACCACAAAATGCAAGCCACATATGTAATTTTAAATGTTGTAGTTGTCACATATAGTTGTCTACATGACTCACCGTTATAGTCTTCACACTTGAATGAGTTTCTTTCTAATATGCTTTGTCTTAGTGGATAAACACCGCTATTTTTTTTCTTGTTTGTTTACTTTTTTATTTTTAATTTTATTTTACTTTAAGTTCTGGGATACATGTGCTGAACATGCAGATTTGTTACATAGGTATACATGTGCCATGGTGGTTTGCTGCACCTATCAACCCGTCATCTAGGTTTTAAGCCCTGCATGCATTAGGTATTTGTCCCAATTCTCTCCCTCCCTTTGCCCCCTACTCCCCGACAGGCCCCAGCATGTGATGTTCCCCTCCCTGTGTCTGTGGAACACCTCTATTCTTTAAGTAAATTAAATACCTGGGAATATTTTACTGTCTCCCTCACTCATCCCACACCATCTTCATAAATTAATAAATTATCCCAAATACTTTTTACATTTACTCCCTGTGATAGACACAATAATGGCCCACCAAAGATGTCCACATCCTAATCCCTCAAGCCTGTGAAAGTGTTTTCTTAGGTGACAAAAAAACACTTTGCAGATGTGATTAAATTGAAGCTCTTGGGATAAGAAGATTGTTCTGGATTATCTCAATGAGCCAAACCCAATATAATCAGAAGGATCTTTGTAAAAGGAAGGTAGAAGGATCACAGTCAGAGAAGATGTGACAACAGAGAAAGAAGCCAGAGGGACTCAAGGAAGAGGCCTTAAGCCAAGGAATGCAGGAACACTGGAAAAGGCAAAGAAATAATTCCCTTCCCCAGAGTAATAAGAAGAAACACAGCTCTGCTGATACCTCGATTTTAGCCCCATAGATCCATTTCAGACTTCTGACTTCCAGAACTGTAAAATATAAGTTTATGCTGTTTTAAGCCACTAAGTGTGTGGTAATTTATTTTAGTAGCTATAGGCAACCAATACGTCCCCTCATTACAGTCTCTATGTCCACAGACTGGGTTTGGTGCTTATCATGTTGTAACCACCCAATGGGTTCGCCTTGCCCACTGCCTATGGAGAACCGATTTATCAAGACAGTGGAATTGCAATACAGAAAGAGTAATTCACTCAGAGCTGGCCGTACAGGAGACTGGAGTTTCATTATTATTACTCAAATTAGTTTCTCTGAGCATTAGGGGATCAGAGTTATTAAAAATAATTTGGTGGGTAGAGGAAGGCCAGTGAGTCGAGGGTGCTGATTGTTTGGGTAGGAGATGAAATCATAGGGAATTGAAGCTGTCCTCTTGCACTGAGTCAGTTCCTGAGTGGGGACCACAGATCAGATGAGCCAGTTTATCAATCTGGGTGGTCCCACCTTATCCATCAAGTGCAGAGTCTGCAAAATATCTCAAACACTGATTTTAGGAGCAGTTTAGGGAGAGTCAGAGTCTTGTAGGCTCTAGCTGCATGACTTCTAAACTATAATTTCTAATCTTGTGGCTAATTTGTTAGTCCTACAAAGGCAGTCTAGTCCGCAGGCAAGAAGGAGGTTTTGGGTAAGGCCTGTTATTTTCTTTGTTTTAAACTATAAACTAAGTTCCTCCCAAAGTTAGTTCAACCTACACCTAGGAGTGAACAAGGACAGTTTGGATGTTAGAAGCAAGATGGAGTAGGTTAGGTCCGCTCCCTTTCACAGTCTCAGTTATAATTTTGCAATGCCAGTTTCAATGTCTTGCCTAGAACAATTGCCACAAACCTCTTTATTGTCGCCCTTCTTATGTGTTGATTCTCTATAATCTACTCTGTTCAAATACTCAGGGTTTTTGTAGAGATTTTCCTTGCTTGTCACCCAAAGGAATCATATACAGCTTCCTCACCAAGTCCTATATGGCGCCATCTGACCTGGTCTTCGCCTGCGTCTGCAGCCTGTGTCTCTCTCCTCTGCCTCAAACACTGCTTAAGATCCCTGTGCACTTTGTATGATATTTTCATTCTAAATTTGCATGTGTTGTGCCCAGCACATACAACAGCTGGAATGCTTTTCACAGTCCCAACCCTCCTATACCCCTTTGCCTGGTTAGCTCTTAATGCCTTGTTTTTAAATCATCCCTCTAGAATCTCATCTCTATGCTCCCTAGGTAGGATTAGGTATTACTATCATGCTGCCGCAATGCCCCATTCATGCCGCTATCAGGCCCTTAAAGCACTGTCTTATATCTGTTTACGGGTCTCTTTCATCAGGCTGTTAATTACTTGAGAAAAACTGCTTTATGTTTGAATGCACAACACTCAATCTGGGACACAGTAGTTGTTTTTTGTTTGTTGAACGAGTTAAATTATTGAATTAAAGTATGTAATATAGTACATCTATAAAAAAGTTCAGTTTCTAGGAAAAAGGAAATTCTTTAACAGTAAATTATAATAATGTTAAGAAACAGTAAGAAAAACATGTCATCAGTAAAAGAAAAGTTAATGCATGTTATAAAACATCATAACTTATTTAGTTATTGATAATCTGGAAAATCCATTTATAACAGGAAATGTTGTATAAAGCAAATCAGGGTTTCAATGGTAAATTTCCAGTTTAAAAATACAAATTATCATTGCATTTGTATAATGCAGATAAGAATCAGGTTTGATAAATGAGGGAAAACAATTTTATAGGATAAACCAATGATTTAAAATCTGTATTCATATTGAGATTCAATGAACATCTCTGGAAGGATCTTTCATTGCCACATTCGTTTTATTATATAGCTAAAAAGCTAATAGGCTCATCTCAAGGCTTCTTCTTGTAGCTCTATTTACTGAAGGGTTAAAGGTGGCCAGGTGCAGTGGCTCACGCCTGTAATAAAGGTGGCCGGGCACAGTGGCTCATGCCTGTAATCCCAGCAGTTTGGGAGGCCAAGGCAGGCAGATCACGAAGTCAAGAGATGGAGATCAGCCTGACCAACATGGTGAAACCCCGTCTCTACTAAACATACAAAAATTAGCTGGGCGTGGTGGCATGTGCCTGTAGTCTCAGCTACTCAGGAAGCTGAGGCAGGAAAATCACTTGAACCTGGGAGGCAGAGGTTGCAGTGAGCCGAGATCACACCACTCCACTCAAGTCTGGGCGACAGAGTGAGACTGTGTCTCAAAAAAAAAAAACAAGTTAAAAGTAAATTGTGGAGAGTATCTTATTTGAAAATTACACTGCCTGGACACTGCAGATTATTAGGTTATAGATTCTGCTAGAAAAGCTCAGAAGTGAGAGAATCTGTTCTATACTTGTTCAGACCTAAAAAATAGTAGTAAATTCTCTGGACAGTGAAGCAGGGAATTGCAGTACTCTATAGGCGAGACAGATTTTTCTTGCTAACATGGAAAACTAACCATCCTTCTTCTTCTTCTTCTTCATTTTTTCCTCTCTCTTGTTTAAACCTCAGATGTATAAATAACTGAAGAAGCTGTGCTATTTTAAAACATGCACTGATGATTTTTCATTGGTACATACATTTCTATCACAGCCCTTTAGTATCATTGTAATTTGCTATTTAATAACTCCCCTTTCTAAAAACTGATATTAATGGAATACATTATTGCATTTAATTTGTTCAAAATTATTATTTTTTAATACTATTAAGCATTTCCTCAGTTCATGATCCTTCCTCTTGCTGAACCTGTGCAGCCCCTTGCCTGGTTTTGTTGCTGCTTTGTTTTTGTCGTTGTTATTTTCCTTCCCGTGACCACAGCTCCATTCCACCTGCCTTCTAAATGTCCCTCTAAGAACTGCTTTAGCTAGAAGCTAAAAATGCTGGCTTGCTGTTTTTTCATTATCATCCTCTTCTAAGTATTTTGAAACTGTTTTTTCCTAACCTAAAGTTTTAACCTTTTTTTTTTTTTTTGACGGTGTCTTGCTCTGTCACCCAGGCTGGAGTGCAGTGGTGCGATCTTGGCTCACTGCAACCTCTGCCCCCTGGGTTCAAGCAATTCTCTTGGCTCAGCCTCCCTAGTAGCTAGGATTACAGGTGTGTGCTACCTAGCCAGGTATGTAACACCCGGCTAATTTTTTTTTTTTTTTTTTTGAGACAGAGTCTTGCTCTGTCGCCCAGGCTGGAGTGCAGCGGCACGATCTCGGCTCACTGCAACCTCCACCTCCCAGGTTCAAGCAATTCTCTGCCCTCAGCCTCCCGAGTAGCTGGGTTTACAGGCACCAGCCACCATGCCTGGCTAATTTTTTAATATTTTTAGTAGAGATGGGGTGTCACTATCTTGGCCGCACTGGTCTTGAACTCCTGACCTCGTTATCCACCCGCCTCGGCCTCCCAATAATTTTTGTATTTTTAGTAGAGATGGGGTTTGGCCATGTTGGCCAGGCTGGTCTCAAACTTCTGACCTCAGGTGATCTGCCAGCTTCTGTCTTTCAAAGTGCTGGGATTATTACAGGCATGAGCCACCATGCCCAGCCAACAATGTATTTTTAAGATGGCAGATATGTAGGATTTTAAGCTATCCTTTTGTTGTTGATTTGATTTTGCTATATTATTGCCGCAGTCTCTCAGATATTGAATTCTTGGAATTTAATTAGTTTTCACTGAGTCCCAGGAGAAATTCAATTTTTGTGAATGGTCCATGGATATTCAAAAACTCTATTTGCTTATTAGGTATTAAATATATATACTAATATATTAGGTAAATATATATAAATACGTATATTAGTGAGCTTAATTTTAAATGTGTCTATACATGTTAAAAAATTCTGTACTTTCATGTTTTGTCAGTTTGATCTAAACCATTTTTGAGGAAGTGATAAAATCTCTAACTGAAATTGGAAATGCATCCACATCTCCCTATTGTTCTGCCCACTGCTCATGCCACTCCTCTCCTGACAAAACAGAAACTTCTGAAACCAAGGGGAAAGGGGAATTGTTAATTAGAAGTAAATAGTAGCTAGTAATCATTTGTACTAGCTATGACCTCATGGCAGGATTGTCGAAACGAGGCCTATTATTTGACTTGAATTGCTTTACTACTTGCTGGATTTTCTCTTGGTGAGAAAACTTCCCAAATTGTAATTCACCCTTAACATCCCCCTACAGCTAGATGAGGCAAATGCCAGTATGCCCTGTGGCCAATGGATAGCCTGAAGAACCAAGTAATATTCATCATCAATTCTCCCATGACAGCAGTTTCTTCTGCTTTTGTCCAATAAGCAAAAAAATTTCAATATTTATGAATAGATGTACAATAAAACAATTGGTGGTCAAAGAACGGGGATAATTTTAAGAGGCTTCTATGTAAAGGTGTCTAAACTGTGCCAGACACTTACCGTGTTCCTTCGGACAAACTACTTAACTCCACCTTCCTTCATAGTAGTGTAGACCTCACAAAGTGGCAAGAGGATTGAACAAGTTAGCATACTGTTAGCACTTAGAATGTACTAAAGTCATATAATATGCATTTGATAGTCATTAGATATTATTGGCTGCATTTCACTTTTCATATTCTTTCCACTTTCTTGATTTATTCATGCTTTGTGTAACTGTGTATGTGGTGTGTGTTTATGTAGAGGAAACCTGTTATAGGCATTATATTCTCTGGGAATTTTACTTCTTCAAAATCATTCACCCATCTACTTGTGCAGGGACCTTAGAACAATTTTTAGACTCTATTTGGGGTTAGAACGTAGTATCTGTTATTGTGACTAAAGATTTGAGTCTTTGAGTTGTTCTCTTGATTGTGGAAGATGTATAGCCTAAGGCATTGCAGAGAGAAAGCCAGTACACAGAAGAATAGAGCTAGAATACAGTCACCCAGAGACATAGAGATAAGAAATGGCGAGAAAATAATGCCTGGTTTCATATCGCTTTCCATTTCCAGATTTTCAGCCCTTCTGAGGCCAGATGGCATTCCTGACAAAGAGTTTTTCAAGACATTACTATATTCTTATCATAACTCCTCTTTTGTTTCAATTACTTGAATTGGTTTCTGTTATTTGCATCTAAAAGAGTATCAAACAATACAATCTAATAGACCATAACAAGCTTAGTAAGGCTAAAAATTGTGTCCTTGACTGCTTCCGGGATCCGAAGATAATACAGCGATCATTGTTTGACATCTTTTCACTAACCACATATCTGAAACACAAAGCTCAGGATGTCTGTCATCCATCCAACTTGAACAAATTTGAGAAATAAAAGATGACATCAATGAAGGTATTCTGAAACTACAATAAATTGTTTCATCATCTAAAATAGACATTCATCTTAGATCCAAAGATTCTTAGTAGATGCCCACTGCTCTTTTCCCTTTTAGTTCTCCTGCCTCATTTCATTTCCTACCCAGCTCATGCAAACTTATTCCATGGGGCTATGTGCTTCCATTTTTCCATTCTCACTGATGGAAAGCCATCAATTCACATCATCTTCAACTGGCAATTTCATTTCATCAAAAAGTATATGTTGAGACTAATATTTTCCAGACAGCCTACTTGAGTTAGGTTGTGGCTACAAAATGCAATAGACATGGTTTCTAAACCCAAAGTATCATCTCTCTCAGAGTATGCCTAGTTGTGATAAGGTGGGGAAGAGGAGATGGTTCTTTTGCATGCCTGTTATTTGTTTTCATTAAGAGCTACATTAAGGAAATACTCTTGGCCTCTTTCTAGAACAGTAGTGTCTTAATCTTACAGGTGAGTTTGGTGGAAAAAAAAACAACAACTGATGATATGTATTTTCTTCTTGGGAAGCAGCCTGACCACAGAGGACATCAATTCTACTGGGCATTAATTCACACTATAAGTTTTATAGGGTCAAGGATCCGTGGGAAAAAGCTTGAATGGTACAAGGCTGCCTATAGTTAGATGGGCACATTTTTTTAACCCTAGAGTTCAATATTAGAAAGTCCACTTGTCCATAGCTATGAGTCATATTCTCCTGTGTTAGCTGTATCTGCATGATGGTGGTATTTTGTTCTTCTATCTGCCTTATAATTTAGATATATGTCTTAATTGATTAATAGACCCAGTGGAAAAGAGTGTTACTAGCCTCCTCAAGAACACTAACAATGTGTATCTAGAATCCTGTCCTCTCACCTTGGCTTTTGCCCTGTAATCTAATAATCAGGGGAAATATCCAGCTGGAATTTTTTTCTTTTTTTGAGATGGAGTCTGTCTCTGTTGCCCAGGCTGGAGTGCAATGGCATGATCTCGGCTCACTGCAACTTTTGCCTCCTGGGTTCAAGCGATTCTCCTGCCTCAGCCTCCTGAGTAGCTGGGATTACAGGCACCCACCATCATGCCCAGCTAATTTTTTGTATTTTTAGTAGTGACGGGGTTTCACCATGTTGTTCAGGCTGGTCTCGAATTACTGACCTCAAGTGATCCACCCATCTTGTCCTCCCAAAGTGCTGGGATTACAGGCATGAGCCACTGTGCCTGGCCCCCGATGGAATTTTCACCACCCCAAATTCAGGACTTCACAAATGGAAATGTGTGCCAATCTCCAACCATTCCATAAAGGGAAATCAGAAGTTTATCACCAAGCATGCCTGTTTCAGTCACATATGACCCTAATCATCAACTCATTCAGCTGAAATCTCAGAGTCACAATGACTCATCCTCCTCTTATTCTAGTAAGTTAGGCATAGAGTCCTGTTGGTTTTTTCTTCACAAATGTTTTATTTATCTGCTTTCATCACTAATCCCAATCTAGACTTCTTCATGCCTGCTCATTGCAAAAGCTCATCAGCTATATTTTGCTGATTCTAGATTTTTTCCTTATAATCTCTCCAGCAGAGCTGACAACATAATCTTGTTTAGTTGCCACTTTGACCACATTATTCCTGCCCAAAATACCTTCAGTGACTTCCGTCTTCAGATCAAATTCTTTTTCATGTTTTAAAGGCTCTGTCATAAGTGAATATAAATAACACAACCAACTTCTTCATATTTGTTATTCTCTAGTCTACTTGGACTTAACTCTTTTATAAACCAAAAGCATGGTCCACTTTTACTATATGTCTTTACTGAAATTGTAAACCACACATATATCATCATCTGAAATCAACTTCTACCCCCCCTGTCAATCACCTCCAAATATTTAAGGACTAAAGCGAAGCCCAGCATGTCATATCCATTAACTTATTTACAATTATAACACACAGTTTCCAGTTAATCATACACTGTATTAAATTGTGTATTTCTGTGGTTTTATAGATTCATCTTTATCCAAGCTGAATTACTGTGAGTTCCTAGGGCTGAAGAATCATGGTACATTCCCCACATCATAAAATTCATTATTAATCATATAGTAGATACAAAATATTTAATAATTGATTGCCTTATAAATAAAACGAAGTAATTGCCTTCACCTAAGAGATGGCTTGATTCAACAGTTTGAAGCTTGAGTCATTTGATAATCAAAATCTGCTCTGACCTCTGATTTTCTCTGTTGTTCTAGGCAAGCCATTTTACTTACTTTGGACTCATTTTCTTAATCCAAAAATGGAAGTAAGGCTTGTCATCTGTCTTATTCATAGTCACAGGTGAGGAGTATCCTAGTCAATACAAGGCACATAGCTAATACAAAGTTTAATAAAAATGATAAATAACATCTATTACAAAATTGAACCATTGTTCAATTTCTTCTGCCCTTTCAGTTCTTTGATTCAATATTCTTTCACTGAAATCTGAGAGCTGTAATTTGAAAAAGCGTTTTACTAATAATTGTAGACTTTCTACATTAGCTTTTTCTTATCATTAGGCACACCTGGATGATATCAAATTATTCTTTTAAGGAAATCAATATATCACGAAAAATGCATAGAAGAACATCTGGCAATAACATTTCAGGTAAGGGAAATTTGAGTATGAGAAAACTATATCATAGAATTCCCTGTTTTCCATGGAAACTTTCTTTAAATAATTTAAAATAATATTTTCTCTATTTTTTTATTCCTTAAGCAAAATTACTGTTCTTTTGCTACAAGAGCCACTTTTCTTTTATTGTGAATTATGAAGAGTAGAAAAAAATGAAAAAAAAAATCATTCCCTGAGTCTCTAAAGAATCAGAAAAAGCTTTAAATAATTTTATTATATTGACGATTTTCATAGTAAACCATTAAAATCAAATAAATGCCTTGACTTGAGAGACAATAACTTTGTTAATAACATATCATGTTAATTAGATTTTGTTTAGTGTTTTCATGTGGGCAAAATATACATTTTAGGCCGGGCATGGTGACTCATGCCTGTAATCCCAGCATTGTGGGAGGCTGAGGCAGGTGGATCACTTGGGATCAGAAGTTCGAGACCAGCCTGACCAACATGGCGAAACCCTGTCTCTACTAAAAATTCAAAAATTAGCCAGGCATGGTGGCACACACGTGTAATCCCAGCTACTTAGAAAGCTGAGGCACGAGAATCCCTTGGACCTGGGAGGTAGAGGTTGCAGTGATCCGAGATTGTGACACTTAACTCCAGCCTGGCCAATAGAGTGAGACTGTGTCTCAATAAATAAATAAATTTTAGAAGTTAAAATTAGAATAAAAAATCAAAACACCAGAAGAGTATTTATTTTTTAAAAATCACAGATGTTAGAGATAATAATCAGTGAGTACTTAACAATGCAGATCAGATATAATCTAACTTGGAAGAGAGGAGGGAAACATGCTAAGGAGAGACGATGGTAAAATTCCTAGAAATAAAATTTCCCACATTTCTTAATTATATAATTCCTCCAATTATTTTCTCTTTCCAAATATGTGTCTTAAGCCCATTGCAGTTTACAAAGGTAAAATATAAGATTTTTTAAAAAATAAATAAAACTCAAACCTTTTTTTTTACTATTTAAAAAAATTCTATGTACATGTGAGAAGGAAATATTTGAAATTTTGATAAAGTTCACTGTTTATATTATATGTACATATTTCACTTGCCTATGCTATCTCCATTATATTGGTAAATACTGAAATCTAGAATATTGCCTAATAAGTGCTCTACACTTGCTTCTCCTAGAGTGAATTCTGTACTTTGCTCCTATACTCTAGTTGTGCTGGTCTTTCATTTGTTTTCTTAAACAAGCCTTGCTTATTTTATTCTGGCTTAGAGCTATTGTCACATCATTCACTTGGCCTGTAACACTCCTCACCCTGCCTCCTCTTATCTCGTTAATGTGCACTCATCCTTCAATAGCAACTCATACTACATCTTCAGGAAAGCCTTTGCCAACATCCCAGACCAGATCACATCCACCTGGCTGTACTGTCTTACAGCACCTGAGACTAATCCTAATTTGTGACTACACATTTGACTGATTAAGAAAAAGCATCTCTCCCCCCAACTAGACGGTAGGTTCATGAGGCAGAGGCACTATCTAAACTGTTAGTTGTTGCATTTACAATATTGATTTGTCATACGGGAAGTGCTGAGTGAATTTTTGCTGAATTAATGAACGAAGAACTAAATTTTGACTGTAGATCATTGAGTAACAAATTATTAAAGGAACATGGCAATGTGAGAATTAAAAAGAGAACATTAAGTAAGCTGAAGGCAGCATTCCGAACATGAAATAAATTTTTATGGTGTCCTTAGATTTTAGGAAACAAAACATATGATCATAATGATATGTTATACAGTTACAATGTTAATTACATCACAAAAGTAAAATTAGTTTATCTTGTTTTCAATAAAAATGAAAACTAGTGGAAAATAACTTTCCCATATGTCTCTTAGGGTTATCTTCATTTACACTTACTAAGTTATTTTATCGTAGCTGGAGAGTTATTTCAATGTTTGTAGTGTTTAGCCTGCATTAACACCTCCAAAATCCTGTTTTATGCCTTTCAGAGATTAATAAATGTTAGAAGCTAAAATTTTGAAGGAATTGAATCCTAATTATATTTTTACTTCTGAATTCTTTCAAACCTCAAATGTTTTCTAGATCATAGTTTTAGCCACTGCCCACTAGTGACCAGGTGTTCTTAAGCTTAAGAACATTAAAAGAACAAAAACAACAACAACAAAAAAACAGGCCTGACTTTCAAAGTCAGATCTCTAGGGAGTCTGCAAATGTAATTGTTAGGGCATGTGGAGACAAAAGCAACAGTACACTTACCCACCCAAAGCCTGCTTGTCTCAGCATGTGTAATCATCTCAAATCCTTATAAATTAGACATTGCCTAAAAATTTAAGAAAAAATGTTTAGATGTATTCCAGTTACAAAAGTCTATCTGAACCTGAACCAGCATGTTTAAAAGCCTAATGACAATTTAAAGACTAATTACTAGACATTATATATTTTAATTCAATACATGTCATATTTATTAATTTTTAAATAAATATATCTACATATCTCATGGATTGCATTTATTTTCAAAACTGTATAAATTTAATAGGTGCCAACGTTGTTGGTTTCTTTTTTCCTTGTTCTCCCAAAACATTTTACCCCAGGAAAAGTGCTATTTAATCTCCCATGTCTATTTCCAAGTAAAATTTGGTCATCAAAAATTTAGATTTTTTTTCTGCTCTACATATCAGACCATTATTTTTTGTCAAGATATATGAAAATGATACTGTATCAAGAATGTAGGGGCCTAAATAATTCATAATAGGCTATTTGTCTGAGTATTTCCCTCATCAGGACCTACCTACCTGTGGTGGTAGAGAAAAAGAGAGACTGACTCAAACTTCCCAGTCAGCTTGCTTTTGTTTGGCAGGTAGCTTTTACAGAAAATCTGTTTCCATAGAAGCTAATGGATTGCTTAAATTTAGGAGTAACAAAACCTGCTTCTATGCTAATCATAAAAAAGCTAACCCTGCAACCTAATGAATGTCATTTATTCATGCATGCACTGAAATTATACATTTAATAAATATTAATTGAGCACCTACTATGCTTCAGTTGGCGAAAGACAAAATCAGCAAATTCAGGCAGAAAAGTGAGTCCAGTAAATCAATTACAGCAGTGTTCAATGAGTTCTACAAAAAAGATGTGCTCCAGATGATGAATGCGTTCAGGTGTCAGGTCTTAAAGCAACTTGGGGAAGGCTTCTGGAAGAGGTTACTTTTGAACTTAAATGTTGGGTAGAAGTTAACTGTGTGTGGAATAAGGAGATGGGAGTTGGGGAGGAAAATATAATTAATTCCTGTAAGAGTATTCAGTGTGTAAAAAGAAATAATGGCATCATATTTTGTTGCTATTGAACCACTGAGAACACATTTAATATGGCTGCCGAGAATGTGGAAAGCTGGAGAAAGAAAGGTGACAGGTGATGGAAAGCCCTATGTGTTACATGGAGGAGTTTGAATTTTATCCATCCACAAAATAAAATATATATATATATATATATATAAATGTGAAACCATTGAAAATTTTGACCTCATTTGAGTTTCAGGAAGAACATTCTGGGGAAACAGTTGAGAGTGTAAAGAGATAAAAGACAAAATTCTTGTTAAAGGCCTGAAATGAAAAGATTTTGAACTTGTACAGGTGGAAATAGAAGAGGAGCTAGATATTTCAGACCAGAGGACAGATGGATGTAGACCATGAGAAAGAAAAGAAGAGTGTTTCCAGGAGACTGGGTCTGCCAACACTTCCAGTTTTTAGTACAGGAAACTGGTGTAAAGTGGGATGCTCCAACAAATTTGGGGAATCAGTAATAGATAAATTCAATCAATCATTAAAACTAAGGCCTTCAATTTAAATGAATATACACTGCTTAAAAAGAAAGCAAAACATGACGACATTTATTATGTAAACTATCAAATGTTTATTTAAATTTCCATTTAAAATATTTTCAAGTAAAATATGTACAAAAATGGTTATAAAATGGTTGAAGCAACTAGAAGCGTGACAGGTATAATACATATAAATACAACCAAAATTCAATTCAATGCAAAGTTGAATGACATCATATTGCACCAAAATTTATTCCATACAAAAGCACATGCATCAAGAGTTTCCATAAGATGAAAACAAACACACTTACTTCATAGCATCTTACCACTTACTTACACAAATAGCCCATAAACACCATCTGGCATTGTGATTGCAGTACCAGAACTCTCCCCAGAGGGAACTCATTTAGCTATAGAAGAATCCATTTTATTTCACATATCACATGCTTGTGCAGGCATCAGTGCTAGGAACCCTAAGAAACAACGCAATCCACAGATGAAAGTCTCTCTGCACCATTTATATCTTCATAGATAAATATCTTAGTTCTAATATGATTGGAATGTGGATGCAGAAATAAAATGCAGTTTTGCTCTTTAAGAATTTTATCAATGTAAGACATTGTATTAAATTTGTATAAAATACACACAATCCCCTCTACTAAGTTTCATGATCACAGTGCCAGAGTGAAGAAACTCTGCTTGAGTTGAGGACCAGTTAGTTAGGATATTGAGGATCACTCTTTTTCAGCTGGATCTCTCTGTTCTTGTGTTTTCAATCACTAGACCAAACCCACGATGCCCCTGAAATTCTGGGAATGGTACAAGGTCATAACTAATGCATTCCAGATCCAAGTTAGGGATTTAGCTGGTCTATAAATTACAGTTTAAGCACAGATCAAAGAGATGGCTGCCAGCATATCCTTCAAGGGTAACCTGAGTTCCAAGACTTTCCCACTGGGCTAAATGGACTCCACTTGTTGCAAATTATAAATGCTTGTCACAGAATATGAAAAATATTTAAATACATTCATAGATAGTACCTAATAATATGTTAACATAAACATAACAACACACATATTATTTTTCTACCCCTTGGCAACTGAAAATGAAGTTACCATTCCTAGGCCAAATTTTTAGACAAAGCTTTCTAAAACCATCTTTATAAAGTAAATTCAGATATGCTTACAATAAAAAGACATAAAAGATTCATCCTGAGATGAATTCTGAGTCAATAACTAAAAACCATTTCTACCAGTGCATCACTACCATGTAATCCATTCTACGCAAGCTCTACAAATATTGAGTCAAATCCTGTCTGTCAGAAAATGAAGACCCAATAAGTTTGCCGAAGTATTCAGTACAAGAGGCCATTTGTCTTGCCTTTTTCTGACATGTGCATACTATAAAATCACAGGTAGCCAACATTTAGTATCAGTAAAAAACAACTACGTTTGTTCACCTGTTTGGCATAGGGAGAAAACAATGTATCTCATAGCATTAAATGATACAGCCTTAACACATATGATGCTCATATTTGCAAAGTTCCCAAATGTTGAGAAGTTCTAGTGAAAAGTCATACTATTGTGCAAAGATGAAAATTTGGAGCCAATGTCTGTATTCAAAATAACCAAAATATATTTTAAAGCAAAATATATCCTGATACTACTATAGATTCTAGGAATTGTCCTAAAAGAGTAAAGTGTTGTTTCCTTTCTGAACATGAATAACATCAAAGGAAGAACCCAGTTCTTAAGACTTAAGTAGGAAATTTATAGAAATTTGATTTATACCAGTAGTAATAACATTCATAAGGAAAAACTATTAGGTAACAATTTTCTCCAAGAAGAGGATCAGATTACTTAAAATTGTTGGAGAATTCTGGTTGTTTGTGCAATAATCATAGTGATTTACATTGCTTTTCTTCTTTCAGAGCAATAAGAAAGTTATTTGGGGTAGTACTTGAAATAATTCATATACACAGTCATTTAACATAGATCGTTTCTAGTCGAGTATGAGCATACATTCATGGGAACAATCTGTTTCATTCTTCAAAGTATGTTTGTACTTTGGAATGAAGGAGAAATTCTAGGGAAAAATTAATTCAGAAATCTTTTGAAATAAGACAGTTCAAACCTAGGACCAGGTAACCACATTGCATTGCCTCCCAGTGTGATATGACTGTGCTTCCAAGTATGCATCTAATAAAGTTAGTTAGTAGGAAAATTTGATGTCTAAATTTTATAATACACATTTAAGTCAGACCACTCACAACCCAACAAATTATACAGCTTTAACATGCAAAGGCCTAATAGGTTTTCCCACAAGATGCTGTAATAATACCCTGTCACACAAGGTACTCAAAATACAGTCACCACTGCAAAAGAGATACCTGTGCATTACTCTTTTTTTCCCCTCTGGCTTTCAGCACGGCCTTCTGAGGCTTTAACAAGAGGTAATAAGGACTTAGCAAGCAGTTCTCCTAACCAATACATTAATTCACTTGAAAGTCATACTTTTAAAAAAAATCAGTAGTGTATATGTTGAGGAAAAAAAGCATGTTCACTCTGGAACAAAGTTGGCCCTCTATGGCTCTCAGATGCCTAATGCTCTACAGTTTTGTGAGAGAATTGTTAACTGTAAAGCTGTAAAGGCGGTTATTGGTACTATAAATGTACACTTGATTCAAGTACGCTGAAACACACACATGTAACAGCTATTAGGACACTGTAACCGTCCTCTGTGTATTTTAAGGCCAATAGTAACAGAGAGGAGGGAAAAAAATAACTACCAAGAAAATAAAACTAATGGGTAGATTCACACTAAGAAAATCTAGGTAATTATATAAATTCATTGTTATGAGGTTGTAGAAAGGACAGTTATCTCACGACATATGGAAAATTGGTGAATTTCCTGTGAGACTATGATTTATGCTTTTGTGAATGTATACCTGATCTAAAATTAGACAAAACATTTATTTTTAGACACCAACTAATTGGAAAATATAAGGAAAGAAATAATTATCTCCCAAAATTGACTATTAAAAAATAATTTTTAAGTACAGTACTAATAAACTAAGGATGACCTAGAGAGCATACCTTTAGCTATTATTTAAAAATCTTTTTTTTTTTTTTTTTTTTTTTTTGAGATGAAGTCTCGCGCTCTTGTCCCCTAGGCTGGAGTGCAATGATGCGATCTTGGCTAACTGCAGCTTCTGCCCCTTGGGTTCAAGTGATTCTCCTGCCTCAGCCTCCCGAGTAGCTGGGATTACAGGCGCCTGCCACCACGCCCGGCTAATTTTTATATTTTTAGTTGAGACAGGGTTTCACCATGTTGGCCAGGCTGATCTCGAACTCCTGACCTCAGGTGATTCGCCCGCCTCAGCCTCCCAAAGTGCTGGGATTACAGGCATGAGCCACCGTGCCGGACCTATTTAAAAATCTTTTTGAAGTACAGTACTAATAAACTAAGGACTACCTAGAGATCACACTTTTAGATATTATCTATTTTAACATAGATTAAAAATACTGTTTATATGAAAATTAAGCTTAAATACACGTATAGGTAATAATTATTTTGCCCATATACAAGTAATGTAAACAGAGGCTATCAAGGTGACCCATTATCTACTCTAATTTATATCCACTATGAGCTTCTTCCCAGTTGTTATACAATGCCATATTTTAATTCCTGACTGAATGGTTAGGAAAGCAAAATGTAACTCTGTAAACTTGATCAGCACTAATGTACAACATATTATGGAGGGTAAAGTGAAGCAAGAATATATTCAAGTAAAATAAAATGTCTTTCATGGGCATTCAAATCCCACATCTCTCTATATTTCTTTCCCAACTAAGAGCTATAATTAAAATCCCATTTATTATTTTTCTATAGTTCAGAATCAACGTATAAAATATGATGAAAGTGAAACTATCTCCCTATATATCACATCATATATATTGTGAGAAAGTCACTTGTTATATATGGATATTTCAATTAACTCATAAATTTTTAAAAACATATCCTCCATACTTATTTCTAACAGAAAAAAATAACAGGAATTATTTTACTTTACTCACATGGACAATGCAGATTTTGTGGGGGTAGAAGTGTACACAACTTTGCTGGTCTTCTTCAACAAAATTAGTACAGAATTCCTAATACAAAGTTAGGTTCAGGACCTCGAATGGAACATGTCTAAGTGAGAGGCACTGAAGCTTAGGTTTCATTAGCTTCCTGCGAGATCCACCTATGCACAGCAAACAACTAATTTTTAATATTTCTCTGACTATATTGCATAACATTAAAATATTGTTACCTTCAGTCCATACTATCTTTCATTTCCTGATTCTCTGGCCTTCGGTTTTTTATCTTTTCATACCTTATACCTCAATTACAAAAGATCAACTTTAACAAAGGTCAGAGTTGCTCCCTTTCTTAGCAGTATATTCATCTGCAAATCAAGATAAAATAATGATTTTCCTGTAGACTGATTACAGTTCATGAGGAATTCTGTTATGTAATTATACTCTTGTTAACCCTCTATTGATATGTCAAATTGTAATTGGGGAAACAATTTTACCAGACACATAAGACGAACAGGAAATCTGTTTCAACGTGAATATCTTAGTGTTGGAGAAACCGTCATGCATTGCTAACGTAACCTAATAAGCTGTCCAAATTTTGTGTCCACAGGGCTGAGGAGCTACAGTCTAAATGCATACGCATGTTGGGAACCGAAGTCAGCCATCTTCCCTAGGACAAATCTTTACTCTTCTAAAGAAGGACAAGAATAAGGTCTACTTTCAGCTAACCATTTATAAGGTTCAGTTTTCATTGGATCAAAGGAATATAATCTAATACTTTTTAAATGGGGTCAAAACAGTATTATAAGGAAAATATTTACTGCAAATATTTATAATTGTGTAAGGAGAATCATTCTTTTTAAAATCAAGTTGTGTTTTAGCTTTAGAATCTTTTAAAATCACAAGTATTTGAGAATCCATCCCCACAAAAATTAAAAAATACTATATTAGTTATTTTAAACAGTATTCATTACTTTTACTGTTTATGTTATAATAAACTTATGTATATAAACATTTGAATATGCATGGTACAAAGTACAAGTACAGAACATGTAGTAAGTAGTATGTGCATGTATGTGTGTGTGTGCATATCGTATAAAAATATGAGAAAAATTTTACTTATATAAAAACATATATATAAATAAGTGTTCAGGAGAGTTTTTGAGAATCTGCTTTACATACTGCAATTTTGAGTGAAAATTATGGATATTAATTTCCTGATTAAAGGAACTGTGTCTTCTCATGATGAGTCCTAAAAATAAGCCAAAATACTACTTAATCTCCATCACTTTTTTTCTTAATTACTGGCTGACTTTTTTTCTGCGTGAAATGGCATTACAATGGCAGGGAAATTTAATAATGCAAAAATCACTTTTGAAAATGAGAAAGAATAATTCTAGTTACCTTTTAAA
This sequence comes from Homo sapiens, assembly GCF_000001405.40. Lineage (NCBI taxonomy): Eukaryota > Metazoa > Chordata > Mammalia > Primates > Hominidae > Homo > Homo sapiens. The sequence continues at coordinate 138,169,519 of NC_000004.12, forward strand.
TTGATACTTTTAAAGAGAAATTCAAATCAAAAATAAATAAATTAAAGTCTGAGACCAATTTGCCACTGTGAATATAAGCACATTAACCCCAGGAAGAGCCAAGAACTACACAAACCTCTCTATGAGAATTTACCAGTCTTCTTTCATTTGGCAAGAAAAAGCTCAGGAAAATTTGCTTGTTTAAATTCTATGAGCCTAGTCTATGGGGAAAAAAAAAATAGGAATATGAAAGAAATTCTTACCTCCAGCAACATATCATAGGGAGAGATGTGGACAAATGAACAATATTTACTGGAAATAGGAATTATAAATCAAATTTTGAAAACCCTATGCTAAGGAAGGAAGGAGTTATTATAAATTCACTCAGAGACCCAAACGTTAGGTTCAGCTAAAGAAATGTCAGTCTTGGATATATATTAAATGTTTTCAAGAGCAAAATTGAAATTACTGAATTGGAAATGCTCCAAATTATAGGTCATCATTTCTACTTTGGACAATTTTTTATGAATTCTATGTTTGCCTTTAATAATTTTAATTGGTATAATTCTTTCAAAAATCCTTATTTTCAAATGGACAAAAATTAAAGGATGAAACATACTCTGGCCATGACTAACCATTTTACCTTAGATGTTTATAAATAACAGTTCAAAATTTCATCATTATATTACTCTCATTTGTAAGTTCCACTATATATATATATATATATATATAAAAAGTGTGTGTGTGTGTGTGTATATATATATATATATATATACACACACACACACACACACACATACACACACATATATATATATATATAATCTTTTTTTTTTGGAGATGGAGTCTGACTTTGTCACCCAGGCTGGAGTACAGTGGTGCAATCTTGGCTCACTGCAACCTCCGCCTCCCGGGTTCAAGCAATTCTCCTGCCTCAGCCTCCTCAATAGCTGAGATTACCAGCATGTGCCACCATGCCCAGCTAATTTTGTATTTTTAGTAGAGATGGGGTTTCTCCATGTTGGTCAGGCTGGTCTAGAACTCCCGACCTCAGGTGATCCACCCCCTCAGCCTCCCAAAGTGCTGGGATTACAGATGTAAGCCACCATGCCCGGCTCACAGTATTTTCTAATACTGGCAAAACAACATCTTCTGAACACAAACACTTATCCACAGATTCTCATTTCAATTTTCTTCTTATCAGTTGTCTCTTTTGCAAGTTGAATGATAATTAAGGTGTGGAAATTACTGACAAAGCCTAGATATAGAAGTGGAAATTTTCTAGAAACATCAGTTGTAAATCTTATTTACAGCGACATTTCTTTTGCAATTTTTATGTTAATATATGCCTTTTCCTAATTAATCTGGACAGTTTCATCTGAAGAGATATTTTAACAGAAGAATATAAAATGTATAAAGAAAATGCACAAACTGTCAAAATTCATCATCGTGTAAAAATAGCCATAAATTTAAAAAACTTCAGAATTACTAACATTGCATGTAGATATGATTACAGATATGGGACTATTATTTTGAACATCTTCTTTGTTGGTGATTTCTCTCATGTTGATAATGTAATTTGAAGGCTTAAAATGCATATGTTTAGATAGACTCATCAGGGGTAAGTTATTAGTGAAACAGGTGGTTGTTCTAATGAGGATTTAATACCAAACTAACTCTTGCTCTAAGATGTGTTATACACTTTCCTGATCAAACTGATGTGAAAAAAAAAAATGACAGATAACTAAAACTTCCTGATAATGAATGAAAAAACATCTGACATAATAAATTCTCAAGGATTTTTACTTAAACATAACTCCTGGATGTGTCTCATAAACAGTAGCCCCTAGAAACTCTTCTTTAATGTATTCAACAATCCCCACTGACCTTTGTTCAAAGTGCTCTGGGTATAATCCATTAAAGCATGAGTGTTTGTTATCTAAATTGGTATCTAAGGGGAAGCAATGCAATGTCAATGTAAAATAAATTTCTTTCTCTCCTCTTTGCCATAATCATGATGTATGCTTTTTTTCAGAATTGAAAACACTTTTCACAGTATAGACATCTATAGTGTGTAAAACCATCTTTACAAAACCCATATATACAGAAAAATCTCAGTCTTCAATTTGAAGGTTCTTTGCCGTGCTAACATATGTTGTAGAGAATGACCACATAGTAATTGTCTAGTCTTTTCTCCTAACCCCAATAGGTAGGTATCAGAGACTCAAGAATTGTGCGACTCATAGAATAACTGCATATTCACTTTCTATAACTACATAGAGTTATAACTAAATTTCTTAGAAATTAGTTCGAATATGCTAAAATATATGAATAAAAATAACTGACTCCTTTTGTTTATCACCAAAGTTGTAATTCTCTAGACTTTCAGAAAATGAAGTAAAAATCCCTATTTTGTGTCTCCCCTTGGGCAGATTGCCAAGATCTCAAGTCCATTAGTTCATAACTTATCTTCTTCTGGTACAACTTCCAGTATTATTTGTAATGTTCTGGTTATTTTCTCTACAAAGAAATAAAAATGAATTAAAAATGCATGGAAATCAGAAATGCATTAAAAATAGCAAAATATGAATTATTTTGGGTTGAATACCAAAAACACACAACTGTCTACTTCATAGAGCACTTTCAAGAATTATTTACTTCATTAGAATTCTATCATGCTCAATTAATTTATTTGTCACTTCTGTAACTTCCCATGATGGCTTCTCAGCAAGAATACATTAATATTTTGCATTCAAATAAGGATTTTTATTCATGGACCAGAAGGGTGAAAATATTTTGAAACAGTAGGACCAATATATAAATAAATGTTTAAAAATACACTTTATATCAGTTTAAAATTGGTTTATTCTTTTTGCACCTATGAGATTACAATCAGTTCCTCAGAAGAATCTGGAGGAGAATCAGAATGTAATTTTCATTCTCTAACTTGTAACATGTTATTGAGAATGTTGTCTTATCTCCTAGGGCCTAATTTGCCTAATCAGTAGAATGAGAGACTAAATCAGTGATTCTCAAAGTGCGGTCCCTGGACCAACAAAATTAGCATCAACTACCATACTAGAAATGCATCTTTTCAAGCTCGATCCTAGACCTACTCAATTAGAAACTGAAGATGGGGCCTAGCAGTCTGTAATTCTGATAGACACAAAAATGTAGGAACTGAGGGCATCCCAAGAAAGGCTGGCTCCAGTGTTCAGAAGGAAGTCTACCTTTTTTCCTTCAGAACCATTGAGCTAGATGATTTCTAAGGTCATTTTATCTTAGCAGTTCTAGAACTCTATGACCTTGGTTTCTGGGGACATTAGTTCTTGTTTGCCTCTTTTTTTGTTTTGTTTTGATTTTTTGAGGCGGAGTTTCACTCGTTGCCCAGGTTAGAGTGCAATGGTGCGATCTCGGCTCACTGAAACCTCCACCTCCCAGATTCACGCGATTCTCCTGCCTCAGCCTCCCAAGTAGCTGGGATTACAGGCATGTGCCACCACATCCGGCTAATTTTGTATTTTTAGTAGAGACGGGGTTCCACCATGTTTGTCTGGGTGGTCTTGAACTCCTGGCCTCAAGTGATTTGCCTGCCTCGACCTCCCAAAGTGCTGGGATTACAGGTGTGAGCCACCATGCCCAGCCAGTTTGCTTCTTATCTTTGTAATGAATTCCTACAGAACCTTTTCAATGTCCTGCTAGTCCTGGAGCTGTTTACAGCCTGACCTCTTGATGGTTTCAGGCCCAGATAGTCTTTCATCTGGACATAGAGTCTTTCTCCTCATTCATGGCTTGTTATCTGTAATAGCTCCTTTCAAGCCATATTTAATGACATTTTAAAAGGTATTTTTTTCAGGCCGGGTGCAGTGGCTCATGTCTGCAATCCCAGCACTTTGGGAGGCTGAGGTGGGTGGATCACCTGAGGTTGGGAGTTCGAGACCAGCCCCACTAACATGGAGAAACCCCATCTCTACTAAAAATACAAAATAAGCTGGGTGTGATGGTGCATGCCTGTACTCCCAGCTACTCAGGAGGCTGAGGCAGGAGAATCACTTGAACCCAGGAGGCAGAGGTTGCTGTAAGCCGAGATTGCACCATTACACTCCAGCGTGGGCAACAAGAATGAAACTCCATCTCAAAAAAAAAAAAAAGTATTTTTTTCATCCTTTTCTTCTGTGTTTGTCAAAGATACTGTCCTCAGCCCACTAATTTTACAGTCTATATTAATTGTAAAGGGCCCAGCACAGTCTCGGTAAATTATAAACTCTGAGTGTTTCCTAAATAAACTGTATTTTACACAGCCGACTCTTTACATTGAGATGTAAGTGCAGCATAAGGGAGCACTCAAGAGCAATTAAAGCCCATATTTTCAGAAAAGGGAAATGACAAACTTATTCTATAAAAATAGGCATTTGTGGGAAAAGGAAATATTAATAAATAGTAAAGAAAATGTAGCTTAGACAGAGAAGGGGCTAGGGATACGTGACAGTAGTTTAAAACAAACAGAAAAACAAGAGATCTCAGGCATCTGCAATGGCCAGATGTAAAGCAGTGATGTTAAAGAGACATCATCTACAGCCCTGTCTCCCCAAAGAGATCCTCCTGCCCATAGCCTCCTGAACTAATCTCCATGACTGCCCTCCACACCCAACATGAAAGCCTTTTCCAAAAATGTTTCTCTATATTCAGGGACCCCCAGATGTCTGCTATCTTAGACATCTTGCTTCCGCATGTCATAACATTGCCTCCATTCAGACAAATGAGGAGCAACTTAGATCCTGCTGCTTCCCTAATGTGTCATTCTCCTTCCTAAAAGCTTGGTTTGGGTCCGTTATTCAGTAGCAGCACATGGCCATAGAATCTCTCTTCTGGTTTTGCACACTTTCTGCTATCTTTCCTCTTCCTTTGTGTTTAATCAGCCCTGTTGACAATATCCAATGTGTCTTTCTTATGTGATCTCTCTTGGAATCTCAGGATTTGAATGACTTTCATCGTAATGAAGGCTTCTGCAGAGTAATTGATTTTGACCATGAGTACCTGTTGAAGTCACAGCAACTTCTCCTTCTAGATTATCTTACAGCAGTGGACCAGACAGCAGTGCTCAAGAGAGGCAAGTATGTCTTTAAGGAAGCTTCCTGCTTGCCGGGGAAAGCTGCAGAGTATGTGGCATTCAACTGTCATGTCTACATCCATGTTGAAAAAGTCTTTCGGCTTTAAGGATAATCAACCCGCGGTACTCTTTCTTTAAATAAAGGTGTGTTAATGAGTCTGCATTTGGTGTTTTCAGTAACTGTAAGGTACAGGACCAAATAACAGTTGTAGTATTTTTAGCTTTACCTTTCATGTTCAGTAGTTATTCTTGAAATAATTTGAAACAACAACTGACCCTGCAAAATTTGATTTACCCAACCATACCTGGTACCAATATGGGAACTACAGCAAAAATTGCCACATTTGTGATGTGGCACAAGGCCATTTTTTTTCTGGAAGTCTTCATAAGAATAATAGTATTTTTTTAAGGCTACAAATATTTTCACAAGCATGATCTCATTTTATTCTTACAATGAAGATAGTTTGGACCCCTAAGAAATGTAGGCAAGCTTAATTAACTTACATATTGCACTGCAGTCTTTGTGAACAGTCTGTTAAATGCATTATTCAGCTGTCAGTGATTTAACATAAATGAAGTTATCTTGACCCACTGTATGCAGCATATGCTTTTAGGACTCTGGAGTTGCAAACTCACTGTCCACAAAGATGCATTACAGTCATTCTGCTGGTGTTTCCCAGTCTGATTTTTTATAATCAAAGATTTTGTTTAAATAAGGCTGTCCTCTATCTCTCTCCCTGAGCAGGAGGGACCCACTTCCAGTCACCTCACTCAACCCCGTGACAAGGTTTGGCTGCTAAATAGAGACAGCCAAGTAAAACAGCTGCTGTGAGTCCTGGCCCAGGTTTGCCAGGTCTTGCTATCTTTGTGTATTTGCATATGTCATTGGGGTATCCGCCCCTTTTTCCTCGCGTGAGAAGCTTGTGTTTCTATAAGTAAATAAATAATATAACTAACCCACCAGAAGAATAAACCACTCTGTCACAGATGGCAGAAAAAAGCTTTCCGTGTATCTCACCATTCCCTTAAGAGCATGTTTTCTTTTCTCCCTAGAAATGCTATCAAACAAAAAGTGGTTCAATACTGGCATCCTGTGGCTGGAGAGATTTATCAAATCTCTGAAAATCTCAGCTCCTTGGATTCTGAACATTCCCTGGCTGTCAGTTCTCAGCAGCCTTTCACCATTTTCCGAGTGCTATTTGGTTACCTCTCATTTTTCATGGAAACAACCTAGGTAAAATGCATTTTGATAGACTATCATTTTCACAGGGCTGATCTACTCATGCATTATCAGGGTAAAAATAAATGATAATATAAAGGTTTTGGAATTTTACCTAATGAAAGAACATGATATTAAATCATTGAACAAACTGCTCCAAGCAAAGGCTCTTGGTCTCTAAGTTCACATTGAGTTTCTCTCTAACAAAATGATCATAGAGTAGTTGGGAGAAGGGACAGGGCGCTGCTTCAGGATTTTGTTGTTTGTGCGTCTGTGTGTGAGTGTTTTGTTTTGGCCAAAGGCTAAGAAAATACTTCCTATTGCAGCAATAAATATTATGAATTTTCTTTATTTTACTACAAGAATGCTGCCTCAGAGAAAAATCAAACAAAATTACGGAGGACTGTTGCTTTTTGCTACTCACTTTCAAGGCAGCTATAAAGATAAAGAGTTACAATGATCGCAGTTTAAAAGCAGAATTGCCATGCTCCCTGGTAAGACTTAATGGCATTTTTGAGAACCAAATAACCATTATGGGACTACTCCATTGCTGCTAGTTTCACAAATGGCTAACACTAAATTTGGAGGCCTTGGAAATGTTCAAAACATCATTAGAGATAGAAAAATAGCAACAAACTTTAAAATTACATGAACACCAAAAGACATCAATGAAGGATCAAGCATGAAAACCGCTTGTTGAGATGAACTGACAAAGAAATAATACAAAGTACACACGTGCTTGTTAGCAAGAGGAAAGAACTATTAGAGTTGGCTGACTCCAAACAGGAGGAACAAAATGCCTGCTAAAGTGGGATCGAACAATGGCTTTGCTCTTTCATCATGCTCCCTTTCTTCTAGTCTAACTCTAGGACCACCAGCTCTTTCTTCCTCAATTCTCTTAATTTTCTGTGCTGCTCAGGGGTTTTAACTGTCTTGGTTAGTATGGGAGACAGACAGATTTCACAGCGATGAGTGCTAATCTATCCTAAATGTTAGCAATGAATAAAGCAACCCTAATGGTAAATGGTATTTAATAAGATCCCTTTTCCCTCAGAACAGGCTCTATATTTAGTGTCTAGAACACAGAAAACTTAAAAATATTCCACAGAAAGCTAGTGTGATCTGAGAAGAAATAGAGATTAAATACTCAGTTAAGGCAATCAGTGTGCCTGTGTCAGCCATAAAGCACCTCATTTGTATAGTAACATTTCTTTGGGGAAACAAAATCCAGATATAAATATTAGTATAAGATCTAAAGATGCAAAATTCCAATTGAATGCTAATAAAAGGTATTAATAAAACTCTGCTTTAAAGGACTGACTTCTCAATGAGTCTGCACAGCACACTAGAGATTCAATATGCATATCAAGGTTTTTGGTTGTTTGTTTTTTTAGTAACACTGGCATTATTTATTAATAATTTAACCAGAAATCTCCCCAAACTTTTAACTGGAATTTAAAAAATTAATTATGGTAAAGTAAGTAAATTAAAACAAAGAAAAAGTATGAAAGCTATGTTCTAAACTCACCACATTCACCAGCGAGAATAGATCTGCCCTTCTGGCTATATTTGTTACCTACCTATCTCTCTCTCTCTCTCTGTCTCTCTCTCTCCCTCTCTCTCTCTGTCTCTCTCTTTCCCTCTCTCTCTCTCTCTCTCCGCCCCCCCCACTTCCACAAGGGATCCAGTCTAGAAAGAGCATGAACTTAGAAGTCCAGCAGATGTGGGTTCAATTCCTAGTTCTATGGTTTAAAATACATACACTCAAAAATAAATTCTCCATTTTCCTGAGCTCTGGTGTTCTCATCTGGACTTGGGAATAATAGCACCTCACACATCAACCTTGTTGAGGATTGCTTGAGATGATCATGTAGGGGAGAGGACTCAGGAGAGCCTCTGACAGAGAGATATGCTTTCAACACAGGCTATTCATAAGCACCCTTCCTACCTAGTCATCTACTATGTTTTCTCCTCCCCCAGTTTAACTGGTCACCAAGTCTTGCTGATTTTTCCTTTTAGTATGTTTCACTTTCTCTCAGACCCTGCTGATACTGCCTGTCTTCAGAATCCCCCTCAATTCTCATCAGGATTGCTGCAGTAACCACCAAAGTCAATATTCTGTCTTCAGCCCCAACCTATCTTAATCCATCCTCATAACCCCCAGGGTGATTCTCCTAAAATATAAAACTGCCTGAGTTTGACTTTCAGCTATTCTACTTTATATCTGTATGACTTGGAACAAGTGACCTGAATTCTCTCATGCTATAATTCAAAGCCTATTAACTGGGGATAATAATTTTCCTACCTCAGTAGGATATTATATGAATTAAATAAAGTCTTGTTCCTCTCCCTGTGTCCATGTGTCCTCATTGTTCTACTCCCACTCATGAGTGAGGACATGTGCTGTTTGCTTTTCTGTTCCTGTGTTAGTTTGCTGAGAATAATGGCTTCCAGCTTCATCTATGTCCCTGCAAAGGATATTAACTCATTCTTTTTTATGGCTGCATAGTATTCTATCATATTTATGTGCCACATTTTCCTTATCCATTCTATCATTGATGGGCATTTGGGTTGGTTCTAAGTTTTTGCTATTGTAAATAGTGCTGCAATAAACATACGTGTGCATGTGTCTTTATAGTAGAATGATTTATAAACCTTTGGGTATATACCCAGTAATGGGATTACTGGGTCAAATGATATTTCTGGTTCTAGGTTCTTGAAGAATTGCCACACTGTTTTTCCACAATGGTTGAACTAATTTACATTCCCACCATAGCACATGTATACCTATGTAACAAACCTGCACGTTCTGCACGTTTATTCCAGAACTTAAAGTAAAATTTAAAAAAAATTAAATGAAGTCATACATGTGCACTCACATGTGGAAGCTGCTATTGTTCTCTCCATTGTTCTTGTTATTATAATCCTTCATGAGTCACCCTTCCTTTTAAGGTAGCGTACAGTCATAATGTTTAAGGCATTTGCAGGCCACTGCCTAACTCCCCAACAAATCTCGTGTCACTCATCAAGTTACATATTATGATATAAAATCACTAAACTGCATTCAAACTAGAAGGAAAATAATTAGGTTAGTAAAGGATTCAAAGAGAGATTAGGTCGATTAGAGAACTACTGATAAAATTTCATCTAAAACAAAGCTGTTTCTCCTAAGAAGTGATTACAGCAGCCCAAACTAATATCCAAAAGGATTCAACGGCTGTACCCTAAATGTCCTTCCTGCCAAAAAGCAGTTCCAATTAAAATGCCATAATGTTCTCAAATCAATTGTGCCACTTACATTTTTAAATGTTAAGTATATTATGTATGCACACCTTTATGGGTTTTCTACATGGTGTTGCACAATGTCCTGAAAGTATTTAAAATTCTTACCCGACATTATTCTAAACCACCTGGGTTTCTTGTCCCATATAATAAAGAGATAATACGCAGGGACTCCAGTCAGAGTGATGACGAAGCCAATCCCTGTACTAAATGGGTCCGAATAGAGGGAAAGGGCAACCATGAAGAGGCATGTGAAGGAAAACAAAGCTGGGATGAACAGTGGCACCTGGAACACAGAACACAAAAAAGTCACTTCAAACATGTTCAAGCAACAGAAGCTGGGTTTGAGATGAGCGTGTCAGTCATGACATATACTTTAGTGATATGCTGTAGTCATGCGACCAGGTAACAGGCACCAACGTGCCTTAGTAGCAAAATCTCTTTCATGGTGCACAGATAATGTATTAAACGTACTCCCTTAAATGTAATTCAACTTAATTTAAATTGTTTTTAAATCTTTGGCTAGAACAAACTCTAAGGACAAAAATGGATACTTTATTAGAGATGTTCTGTTGGAATTATTTTACTAGTTAAATGCCATGATGATTTATGGTTTTGATTTTAAAAGACTGGCTCTTTGATAATTATGATTAGAACCCACTTTAATGTGGAGTCAAGAGCACCGGCTGCTTGTTACATGTTAAAGTCTTTCAGTGCATATTGATTTTTCTGTTGAGATCCACAATAATAACTGACAGGAATAAAACAAGCCAACTCCTATTCAACCGCTAATAAAGATGCCACCAGCATTAGGCAATGAATATTACTAGAAACAAATCCTGACAACATGACTGACAACCTTATCTATGCCATTTCTTAAAAACAAATAAATCGTGAGGTCAAATCAATCCATGAGTCAAGTCTGAAGAAGATGACAAGCTTTTTCTCCAGTCCTCCAAAAGGGAGATGCTTACTTATGGTAAATGGGTATCAAGTGGTAAATTTGTAGATCTTCTCTTTCCCTGTATATTTTACATTTCTATTCTTTTTGGAGTGTATAATATAGAGAAAGAGCAATGTAACAAGTCACAACATTTAAGTACTTAAAATGCCTATTTTGTAAAGGCAAATTCCTTTTTGGAATTGGCATTAACAAAGTATCTCCCTTACTCCTCCTCACCATGGCTGTCCACAACTCTAGCATAAAGACAGACAGAAGTAGCCCATACTTTGAGTATATCAGGTCATTGAACACATTCATGAAAAATCAACATACCAAACATTCATTCATACAGTCATTTTTCAAAAATTTGACATACAAAGTTCAAGCCCATCACATAAAAAATTGGATCCACTGTTTTTTTTCCAACTTAAAATAAATCCAACAGGAAAGCACTGCCTGCAAGAGTTAAACATTTTTATTCCACAGATGCTGCCCCCAGCCCAACCTCCCCATCAGCAAGTTATGACAAAGGGAGGACTAGGTATTAGGAGAGAGATTTATGTAAACCCATCAAGATTGCTGAGGTTACCTTGAAAGGACGATGCATATCTGGGCATTTGTATCGAAGATAAATCAGCCCAGCAACTGCCAGCCCAATAAAAAGCCACCTGGCAAAACTGAGGAAATTCAAAAGACTGTCGAGGTCTCCAGAGAAGAGCATTATCATTGTCAAAGGGTGCTGAGGGGGGAAAGGGAAGCAAGCTTGGTGAATTCAGTGAAAACACAGATGATTAACAACAAAAACCTCACTATGCATTACGACCTTTTTCAAATAATTATTTATACCGATAAATTATCATCATAGTTAAAACTTGGATTTGACTAATCTCTTTTCTATATTCTGTTGTCATAATCCATTTACACACCAGTAACAGTATGAGAGTGATATGGCCATTATACTTTATTCAAGTGGAATTCTATATGAATGTTGTGTTGTGTTTTTAGTTCCTTTTGCATTTGAGAGAAGATAGTATGTCTTCAAAGAGTAAAAGAAAGGTTACTCAATGACTCAAAATTGAAAGACTCAAAGATTGAGATGATTAGTAAATAACCGATAATGAACAGTAAAAGAGGCCCAATTGGAAGATTTACAGAAAGCTCTGCAAATGCTCTCCGGTGAGCTCTTGGCTATCCACACCCAGGAAACACAGACACTCATAGGTGATTCTGTTGGCTCTTGATTGCAAAACATTGACCTTTTTTCCTCCACATTTACTCTCCTGGTGTGCTTGCCGTGTGTGACCCTCAAGACCACGGAGAAGAATGAAGCGCAGAGATCAGCTTAGCAAGTCTCTGCAGCTGCACATGCCAAGGACAGCATGACTGATAGCAGAGGCTTAAAATGAAAGCCCTCTTCACGGAATAATACATTCTGTTCCCACAAGTGACGTTAACATCCAGATTCTGCACAGAGAGTACACATACTTTAAAAAGAAATTTCAAGGAAACGTTCTGAAACAAATTAAATGCATGAAAAAAAAATGTTCAGTGCATTCTGTGGTGCTCCTGACAACAGACTCCAGTTGAGAGAAATGTTACAAAATCATCAGTAAAAATGAATATAACATTGCCAATGGGTATTTGAGGACTTTTACACCTCATACAGTCTTTTGTAGCTCACATTTCACACTTTGCTCTGCAGAAAGAATTTTACAACTCAAATTTACCTCGTGGTGCTTTTATTTTTATCCTGCAGGATAAAAGACACTTGCTCTCAAATGTCTCAAATGAATCATGGCACTGTCTAGGATTTTATCAATTGTTTCAATAATTTTGTGTGCATTTCATTATAAGGTGCCTAGATGATACATCTGGGTACTTTTTGGACTGTAGCTTTTTGCTCTACTTTCCTTAAGTCATTGGGACTTAATACTCTACATTCTTTTCTGTGAGGTGCTATGTCAATGAGAGGAGCCAAGCCAATCATTTTCCTTAGACCTTACACATTTCTGCAAAGATGAAAGTGAGGTGATGATGATTTTTGCCCCAAAGCATCAAAAAAAATAGGCATCAGAAACATGGAGTAAAGGGAAGAGATGGAAGATATCCTGCCTCCCAAACTCCACCATGACATACATTAGCAATGAATGAGAAAGTAAAATACTATCTAATGTCTGGTTGGAATTCCTTTTTGCTAACCTATTATTCAAGGTTATATCTAGATATACTTGTTAATATGCATTACCAAAACAATAACAGCTGGTAGAGGAGTGTGCTTGCGGACATGAATCATGGAGAGGATTTCTGGAAGGTGACCCTCTCGAGACGCAACATAGAATAACCTGATGGGAGAGAAATGTGGGTGGAGTTGACTGTATGATTGATCATTTCAAAGGGAAAATCCAAAAATCCCAGAGAAAACGTGCATCTTTTCATACCAAATGGTCAGGTATTCCTTAGGTGATTGCCTAAGTTCACTTTTCAAATAAGGTGGAGAAATATCATAGGAAATCTAAATTTGGATTTTACAAAATCTGCCAACATTATATTATTCTTTGAAGAGAAAGAATAGCAATATCTGACTCAGCATAGCTCTCTCTACATATAAATAGCTGATGGGAAATCTAGTTCTAGATTCCTAGTATTATATGTGTGTTGTCAATCCAATTCAACAAACACACACACATGCACATCCACAGGTACACACACCTATATGTAGCATTCACATTTATCTGATTGGCTTTTAATCGTATATTAAAACAAAAAGACTATTGCATCAAACTAAACAAAGGAAATACTGATGGTAGGGGTGGTGATTTCTGATGTCTCTTACTTTACTTTTTTCTTGGCATCTTCAGAGAAACAGAAAATTATATCACCAGAAATAAAATGCCATTGTTAGACTGTGGAAATACTATTTTTAAAAAAGCCACATGTCCGTCTTCCAAATAAGCTATTAATAGGCAAGCAGTGCCCTCTAATGGACAGAATAAAACGTGCTGTTGATACTTGGACCAATATTTCAATCTTGCATGTCCCTTTAAAAACAACAGGTTTGGAGGCACTATTTCTTTTCTTTTTAAAGTTATCCTTATCACATCCAATCTCAAAAACAGAAATGTGTTTCTGGAAATACATGAACTCACTCACCTGGAGACAGCAAACACACCACCGTTCATGGAGCCAAAGCAGGAGAGGGCAACAAAGATCGGAACTGCTAATGAGAAATTTCCCAGTAGCCGCTCAGAAAAGGTCTAGTGAAAGAAAGAACGAAGCAAATTAATGCCTTGCCAGAAAGTGGAATAAAATGAAACAATTTAGGCCAAACTTGCTCTATGACTTTCTATTAGCCTGGTGATACTTGTATGTTTTATAATTTCTCTCTTTGGTTAGGGTCAGACTAACTCCGTAGACAATAATCAAAAGCAAGGACCATGGCATTGCTTGTTGCAAAACTATAGTCAAAGATCTAAACAAGCACCTTCTCTCTACTTTCAAAAAGCAATGATCCATTTATCGAATCTTTATCAACTATGATGTGTATTGTCTCTGACTCTGACAAGTGATAAAAGCTCAAATCAGAAGTTCTACTGGAGATAGAAATCTTTCTGTATAATACGTTCTCTTTAGCCTGGAAAACCAAATTTTATATTGAAATACACTGAGAAGTATTACAGATATGTGTTTCATATGCCAATCCCATTCTTAGGAGGTAAATAAAATAATTGATGACTTAATAATTTATAGCATATACATGAGTAGCTCTGAAAATCTTTTTCCCAGAAAATCACACTAGCTAAATCTCTGTTTATAAAGTCCCTCCCTCCCCCTCATGTATGTGTCAATTTCTTTTGTGGTTTCCTATAAAAAGGCTAGAACACAAATATAAGTCCGATAAGCCACAGAAACTTAAAAGATAAACACAACTTCTAAAATGTTCTTTTATGCCATGATATGTGCGATATTGCAAATTTCCATGAAGGATGTATTTTCCAAAAAAAGAAAATGTGTTGGATTCATTAGTTGTCCTTGATGCAGCTGGTGCTATGCAATTAATGGGCCACATTATGCCCAAAGAATAAGTGCTGCCCTTTGTCTCAAAAGATGAGATGACTGACCTGACTTCAATAAGCTTTGTATATTTGATTGTCTGGTGGGACTTAGAGCAGTGGTCGAAGTCTTTTTCAATGTAGTGAACTCATACACAGGTTCAAATGAAATGAGATAATTTATTCCCTGTAGATGCTGCTGATATGAGGTAATACTAACTATTTTAAAAGGAACTGACATCAAGTAATGGGAACTTAACTTTTCACCATTCATTGTTATGAGGTCAAGAGTGAATGGTCTCTTACTAGCTAAGTTTTATGCAAAATAAAAGTGTATCACAGAATAACAGTCTTATAACATGATCTTTGGGGACAAAGATGGTCCTAGTGTCAAATAAATTTTGGAAAATGCTATAAAATTATGTGTATCCACTTCTTAGGGAGTTCAAATGCATGTTGGTATCTTTAATATTCTGAGAAGTATTATAACAACATCGGTTTAACTTTGAATAACCCAGTATTTCCTAAATTTATTAATATCGCAGGACTAGTATTCAAAAGGATATACTAGGAAAACCAAATTTATATGGTCCACATCAAAATTCTTAAGTGACACTTGGGGAAAGGATTCTGAGTTCGCATATGAAAAGTTTACAAACAGGAAAGTGTACAGAATAAATTGTAATTTGCATAGAAAAAATGCATTTATTTAGATTCAATAACTGTCCACCTATCTTTAAAGACATGCTGGGAGAATAAGCTTTGGCAGATTTTCAAGCATGTATGTGTGAAACTGTTTTATAAGAAATTAGAAATAATGGGAAATCATATAGGAATTTAGATATATCAGTTAAATGGAATATGCTAAGGTATGCTCTAAATTTTTTAAATATTCACTATTATTCAGGTCAAGAAAAGATTACTGAATTTCAAAACACTTTCTGCTAGAGGGAACTACTATAAAATTGCATCAGCTCATTAACCTAAATTCCAATTGGCATTTTCCCAACTTGGACTTACCACTGCCACTGCATTTGAAAGCAGCAGCTCCTCAGCATTAATGGTCGTAAAGTAGGCCACATTTGTCAGCACATAGCCAATGGTGACAATGGCCATGGATATACATATTGCAAGGGGAATGGTTCTGAAATGCACAAAGGAATCACTTATTCATTATCTTTTGTTAGCCATTCTCTGATACCGAAGAAAATAACAGGCTAATTCAAATGAAGAATATAATGGTATCTACAATAATTATAGGCTCTGTTGGGTATGTATAAACATTTCATCAGGGCAAAAAACCACATATTCCTTTGTAACTTAATAAGGTCCATGGGGGCAGATACTTCGTCTGTCTTGTCTATTGCTATACCCCAGAACATATGGATTTATGTCATTCATGTACTCCGTAAATGCTACAGCAGTGTTTCTCATACTTGAGATGCATCAGAATCACCTGCAGGGCTTGTTAAAACACAGACTGCTGAGCTCCACCCCACAGTTTCCAATTCAGTAGGATCTGCATTCCTTATATGTTCCTAGGTGATTCTGAGGCTGCTGATCAGGCCACACTTTGAGAACCACTGTCCTATAAACATTTCTAATACTAATTCACTGCCTTGACACCTTTCTAACACTAGTCCTTTAAAACACTTTTCACATTCAATGTTTTTTCCATCAATAGCTTTCATTCCCACCAAATAAACGCACACTTTTGGAAGTATGATAGTGGGATATATCTACCTTTCTAAATGTGGCCATAATTTTGTATATAAGACAAGAAAGCACAGAAGTGTTCACAATAATGACTTTGCACTGCCCTGCTGTGAGTTCAAAGGAAGCTCAAGATCGTGAGTATCTAATAATGCAACAGCGCAGATAATCCCATGAAATTAGAGGTGACATGCTGTGAAGTACGGACGACCGGACAGTGCTGACATTATGTGGCATCAAGAAGTACCCGACACAAATGCAATATTATGTCTTCATTTAATGCACTGGGAAAGCCAGGAAGTTACTGACCCTAATAATTTGATTCCACGTTACCAATACACATTACTTGCTTAACATAATCGCCTCTTCAGACTCTCTCCAGTTCAGGCAACTTAAACCTTCAACTGCCTGCACAAAGGCTGATCGTTTTTCAGCCATAGTGCTTATCAGCCCTCACGGAGCCTTCACCCTGCTGGGTGCCACTAATGAAGACCTCAATATAATTTCTTCCAAGATGAAAATGCAGTTCAGAATCAGGGGGGAAAAGGCACAGCCTGCCTCACTACCCAAGCTGGGTGTTTTTAGCACACTAAGTCCCAGCACATTATACCGAACAGCGATATCCCCTGTTGAAAACATGCTAGCCTAGCCAGTCAGCAACTGTCATTCATTATGCTGCTTGGAGCCTGACACTTCCCCGGATTCCCAAAGCCTTCAGCCTTGATGAGGAAACACATTGACCTCTAAATCCTGACATCCTAATATGAAAGTAGCAGATGGTCCCCTTCCCTAGTGTGAAGAGGGTCCTGTGGAATTTTCTGTTAACACTATAACATGCACTGCTAGTTGTGGTTGATAAATGCTACATTTAAGTAAAGAAAATCACTGAGCCAATCAAATATAAAAGGATAAATGGCATAAAGCAAATTAAAGATGAATTCTGTTTCTTCGTAAGAAGGGCTATTGTAAATGCAAAAGGGTAAGAAGGAGAACATGAAGGTGTATACACAGCTTTTCAACCACTCAGTGTATTATTTTGACCTTGAATCCTTTCAGCTTTTATAAGATCCCCATATGGGGAGTAAATTCTTTCTATGGAGGAGAGAGGAAGAGAGGAAAAGAAGAAGAGAAAAAGACTCTCTGTTCCTTGCAAGCATATGCTTAAGGTATATAAAGTTTCCATTGATAAAAAATGAAGTGACATTATTAATTGCAGTGAAGTAACCTATCCAAAACAGAGAGTACGGTCACATCACATGATGCTGCAAAATAGCAGAAAGAAGTAAGTCTGAAATTTGGGATTGTGGCTCTCCCAGCATAGAATTTACCTTCCCAGTCCAGCTCCTCCAAGTCAGCCCCCTGCCTGTTTCCTGCCTAGACATTACAGTCTCTCTGAGGGCCGTTTCCTAAATTGATCTAAGCAGAAGGGAACCTAGAAAATCTAACCTTCTAGGTTGGTTTCCCTTCATTCTGTTTGTTAATAACAAAAATAACAGGAGCAGCTGCTACCATTGGGCTGCTATGTGCCCAACATTTTATTAGGCACTTTACATACGTGTCTCCTTTTGTCCTTAGAAAATTCTGTGAGTTAGGAACATCAGCACATTTTATATATGAGAAAAATAAAGTCTTCGAGAGCTTAAATAACTATTTAAGGATACACAATTAGTAAGTGGAAGCCCCAGAATTCAGGTGCATACACACCCTACCTTGAAATTCGGGCATTTGGACCACCAAAGTGTATTCACTTTCAAGCATGTGGGTCCCTCAACTCTATTACTTTTAAGGAAAATCATGGTTGTTTAATATAAAGTTTATTAGAGCTTTTATCAAACTAGTATTTCTCATGTATTCTTTAACACTACAGTTTTATCTATCATAAAGAAGGGGGCAAACTGATTTCATGATTTTTATCACTTTTCTGTGTAACATGAATTGTAATGTCAAGTGAATGTTTTCAAATCGTTTCACTGTTTGGGAAATAGAATTTTAAAATTATGTATTATTTAAAAGAAAACAGAAGCTCACAATAAATTTCCCTAAAAAAACTTTTTTTTATAGAGAAGGAGGGAAGGTAACCATGCCTCAGATAAACAGAAACAGACTAACAATCTTACTATCAGCCAAATATACTACACAGATATTAGTGAGAAAAATAACAGCTTAAAATATAAACAAAGGAGAAAGAGTCTAATCTTGTTGCAATGCACAGCATATCCAGTAATTTCTCTATAATTATTCTTTTTTAAAAAAATTTTCTTTTTTTTTAAGATAGAGTCTCACTCTGTCGCCCAGACTTGAGTGCAGGGGCACAATCTCAGCTCACTGCAACTGCTGCCTCCCAAGTTCAAGCAACTCTCCTGCCTCAGCCTCCCAGTAGCTGGGATTATAGGCACCCATCACTATACCCAGCTAATTTTTTTATCTTTATTAGAGACAGGGTTTCACCATGTTGGCCAGGCTGTTCTCAAACTCCTGACCTCTAGTGATCCTCCTGCCTCGGCCTACCAAAGTGATGGGATTACAGGCATGAGCCACGACGCCCAGCTGATAATTAGATGGAATTAAGCAATAGCAAGTTGGTTGGGGTATGGCAAAATAGCCACTAGCTTCCATTCTTAGGTTCCATTTCACTTTGACAGAGGGAAGGGGGTGGGGAGGTTCTCTTGGCTGTTTTGGCATAAACAGCCATTATTGACAGAGGAGAGCAGTTGACTCCTTCAGAAGAGCTTGGTCCTACACAGTTAACTCTAGGTTTCAGGTATCAAAGTGTAAGAGCCACTGGGTGAACTGATAAAAGCTATTAGGCCATGCCTGAGCAATCTTTCTGGAGGCTTTAGACGCACAGCGCAGATAGCATTACTAGTAACCCAAGATTAAGGCAAATGGCACTTGATAATGAAGGGAATTAGAGGAAGGAACCAGTAGGCCACGGATATTTCAAAGCCTCTGTGTTCTTGTGAGGTATCCACCAATCCTAAATGCAACAAAAGCATAATTTTTAAGCTGAGTAAAAATGACTCACTCTTAACAAAATTAAGTTCTATTCTTTCTCAAATGTTAGTACATGTTTGTTATGACTAACGAAATACCATTTACAAGAGTTACTTAATCCTAACAGCTTTTTGTCATATATGCTCTTTTCAATTAACAGGCATTAAGTATGTGAGAGTCTGCTATTTTTATTAGTTGTAAATGGTCTTCAGTCGAAAAGGTCTTGGATAGTCTTCTTTTCTTATGGGCTTATTTTAAATTGGCACTTACAACCAGTCTACGTCACACATACTTGCTTTATTTGAAATTGTTAAATGGAAATCTCTAAAACATGTGCTTAGAAGCATTTTTGTTCCGAGTGATAGGCCTCCCCAGAAATGAAAATGGCCCTATAATGATGGCAGGCAACTTATGTTTGTATAATCTACAAAGCACTGGCAAATACATCTTATTTTATCTTTAAATATATGCATGTCATTTTAAATCGTTTGTGGAATGAGAAGGAGCATGGGCAAACAAAATTTACAACAACCCATGGAAACAGGAAGTAATACCCGCAATTTTTAAACAAGAAAACCAAGGCTCAGAGAGGTTGAGTGACATAACCAAGGTCACAAAAGTAGTAAGCGGGAGGGCTGGAACCAGAACCCACCTCTTCTGGCCCTGAGTTCCACACGCATGGTATATCTTGTCACAATGTCATGGCTGCTTTGTGCCTGCTTTAACTCTAGGTACAAGGCCCCCAGGACCTTTACATGCTGACAAACATGTATTATATTTTATATAAATGAGGCAAATATTAGAAGACTAATTGTCATGGTGTGACACATTTTAAGCCAAGTATACTTTTCTTCACATCTAATAGTAGAAATAGTAGAAAAAACATTCACACCACAAGTAAACTTGCAAATAATGCAGAATAAGGTGCATTTTTTAAAGCATGCTTTGCAACTCTATCATGGAGCATCAGAAATGACTATTGTTTCCAGTGCATCATTTTCGCTAAAAGTGATCCTTGCTATGAAAATGAAATGAGTAAACCTAGCTTGATTCTCCAGAGAAGTCAAGGAGACCTGAAGGTTAGAAGGATTTCTGACATTCAGCCCACATGAGTGGTCTGAATTACATGAGTAATTCTCTAATCGTCTGAATTTAGGATATTTCAAGATTATTTTATAACATGAATACAGTCTTCTGAGATTTGTGCAAGTCCAAATAGATCATATACACTCCCCTCTGTTGGACACATACAATGGTGACTACAGAACTCATGGATCCCGGGGCATCTAAGCTTGTCTTTGTGCTGTGGGGCTAGGCATGAGGATAGGCAGTTCTGTCAAAACCTACATTTGTGTGTTCTGGAGAGAAATGGTTGATGCTTCACATTTCTATTTAAAAATTCTAAATATTTTAACAAATGTACTTGGCATTCAGAAAAAAAGAAAGGAGGGAAAGAGAAAAAATTAAGAAGAACAAAAAATGGCAAATACCTTAAAATGTAAGATTTAAAACATAAAGGGAAACTGGGGACTATTTCTTTACATACAATTGACATGGAGCTGTAATTTATCTCAACATAAAGTACTTATAATTATATTAAGTACCTTTTGATTCAAAGCATTTATTTTTGAATCATACTTGTTTCACATTTTCTTTACAGTGACCCTGTAAAGACCTTGAAAGCTTTTCTGTAGGTCTGACCCAGAAATGACGCAAACATCTCTCACTTCTCTCTTTTCAACCCACCAATTTACTTTTTTGCAGAAGTACTCTATCTTATTACCACAGCTGTTAATTTTATTCTACCCTTCAAACTTCAGTCATGTGTTGCAGACAAAAAAAGTAAATGAGTACATTTCAAAGAAAAGCTATCCGTATTTTTCATTCACATGAGTTTTCTTCCATACATTTTGACATACTTTCCCTGACTCTTGCTCACACTAAACTCTCCAGAGACCCCTTGACATGGAACAGTCCTATCTGCCTCTCTGATTTCTGACATTTCTAGCAGGGATTGAAGTACAAGTAAGCGTTCAAGAAAACAAATAGTTTTCCAGACATGAAAAAAATTGGACTACAGATGACTGAGAGCATCTGTAGAAGAACACACATTTCTTTGTGTGTTTTCAGTGATTTTGCCTCACTGTCATTTAGTGCTATGGCAGTAACTCTAGTTTTCTACTGAGTGGGAATTTGGCTATTAAAAACATTATAAATGAAATGTATTTGAAGAGACATAGCACATAGTTGCAGGGAAGGCATAGGTGGTCACTGAAAAAAATATAGCAAGAGAAAGAAAACATTCAATAAGCCTATTTATGAACATTTTTTAAAGGTCTGTGGTTCATGTTCATGCTTAATGATGATTCTGGGCCAAGGCTGAACAAAGTGATGGGCCGAGCATATTGTTACATAAATGTGCACAGTGATCTCACTGATTTCCAGCATCAAACACCTGCCCTCTGCTTCTTACTGAACCACGGCAAGGCTATGGGTGTTTTCACTGAGACATTTTAAATTTCAATACCACTGATGTCTAATCTAAATCTCACCATTCTCCATTGTCCACAGATGAAGAACTCCATAAAAGAAGAGAAGACAGAGAGACCTGTAGGGAGATGTAAGAAATGAACAGACAAAGATTAAAAGACTGCAGGGTTGAAGGAAGCTCATGGAAAAATGTGCAGAGATGCATAAAGGAAGGAGAAAAGTGCAGCAAAGCCACATAGAAAAATGGCCAGAAGGGTCACTCTTAGCCACCACCACACAGAGAAATGAACTAAAATGAAAACTCACAACTCAGGAATATGGAATAATAAGCAATCAGAAACATAAATATAAGCAGTTTTATCTATTCATTATTTTTATTCTACTATTAGAATAAATTCATGACTAAATAAAATTATTCAGCAAAATGTAGCTTGAGAGTAAATTTTCATTTGCTTGCATTTCATACACACAAAAAATTTGCATTGTCTGCATCTCATTTTTTCTCATTTTCTAAAGACTTAGAGTTTGTCTTCCAGATACATTACAGTTATCCATATTTATCATGGATAAACACAAACATATTTGTAGGGAAGTTCTAGTGTACAAAAGCAAAATTGGTTTTAAATAAAATACTAACAAAAAACTAAGAACACAAAATATTTTAATAGTAATAAATTAAATTTTACACTGATGTTCAATTCTTGTATCTCTTAGGTTGTTTTTAATTTTTTAAAAAAATTTATTATTTTCCTCAGGATTTGGTCTACACAACACTAAGATAATGCAACATTTCGGTAAACGATTTTTATAATAGTGTTTCTAAGATTCAGATTTACAGCTCAGACAACCAACTACTCACCAAAAGTCTGTTTTCTCTTTCCAAAGTATAAGTTATTTATGAGAAGCAGCTACCAAAACAGACACCACATTTCCCAGCCCCTCTTTTATCTAGGAGGGGCAAGTGACTCATTCTTGCAAACAGAATGTGAGTAGATGTGTCATTGAAGACCAAGGTGGTTAAGTGTGTCACCTTGTGACATTCTTTTCCTGAGTGAGCTAGTTGCAAAGGACCTATAGCATGACAAAGCCACATGATGAAAGGAATACGGGTCACAGAATAAACGTGAAAGCCTACTGGTGGCCAGGGACACCAATAATGGAGTGTTATATAATTTTTAAAAATAAACTTTTGATTGTTTAAAGCCATTGAAATTTTGTGGGTTGTCTGTTGTAACAGCTAGCATTATTCTAACTAATAAAAGAATGAAGGACCTCATTATATCAAGACTTTTTTGTAGCTTTTAATTAGTCTATACAAGACTTAAAGTGGGTCCTCATTAAATTTTATTGTATAGTATATTATTTATGAGACAAGCATATGATATAAAATTATTAAAATGATGTCCTAAATTACAATATCAAATAAAAACTGATTTTCATCTTTAAAAGCTAGGAGAGAAAATAATTATTATTCTTACTTCCCCAAAACAGAGGAAAGATAGACCCCATTGTTTGCTATTTTGAAATTTAAAAATCTGTTGCATTTCTGAAAACTGCCACCCATCCAACAAAGAACAAAGTACAATTGCCTCTTGTTTTGCCCAAGGACTCATAATAAGACAAGCAACGTTAAGTAAATATACTCTTATGCTAAAAACAAGGCAACATAAAATAGATATATATGTTTTGGCATGGTAAATGGGAATGAGGTTCAAAATTCCCTTAGACAGTAAACGCATGTCTTAGAAGGAACTGACAACACTTATACTATACACACACAACCAGGCCCCATCACATTTCTGCTGCATAATAAGAAATGAAACAAGTAAACATGGAGACATTCAATCCCACCAAACGAACTACTGCTTCTACCACCCAAAATTGCCTCCAACATTTCTGACCAAAAAAGGCAAGTGCAACTAATATTGATCATTTCACTTTGATATCTAGTGATCAACTAAACAACTGGCTTTCAAGTAGGGTGCTCTGGGAATTAGAATATAAGATAAGCAATGGGATTATAGACTATCCTGTTCTCACTCATTTCAACCAGATGAGTCCTCTCTTACTAGTTTTATGTATTGACATTCTATCAAAGAAAGATGTGTTCCAGTAGTTGAGGTAGGTTTTAAAATCACTGTTCTAGATGCTCAAAGTCATGTCTTTACATCACTTTGTGGACCCAATGCTGGCTTCCTATAGTTTAAAATATATAGGAATTGGGCCTGGTGCAGTGGCTCACACCTGTAATCCTAGCACTTTGGGAGGCTGAGGCGGGTGGACCTGAGGTCAGGAGTTTGAGACCAGGTTGGCCAATATGGTGAAACCCCATCTCTACTAAAAATAGAAAAATTAGCCAGGCATGGTGGCAGGCACCTGTAATCCCAGCTACTTGGGAAACTGAGGCAGGAGAATCGCTTGAACCCGGGAGGCGGAGGTTGCAGTGAGCCAAGACTGTGCCACTGCACTCCAGCCTGGGCAACAAGAGTGAGACTTCATCTTAAATAAATAAATAAAATATAGATGAGTTGGCTTTATAAAATGCCTAAATATGAATGATTATATAGGTATGTATGCACATATTTGACCCTAAAATTGAAAATAATTTTTCACTGCAATAAATCTCTATTCATACTCTTAGAGTAATTAAGGGAAAAATAATTTTAGCAAATGAAGCTAATGTTAGTAGGAAAAGTATAAAATTGATAGGGAAGCCAATAGAAATGGCCTGGCTTTAGTTAAAGTGGTAAATCCACATGCCAAGGCCACAGAGGACATGACATAGCAGCTGAATGGAGCAGAGGGAAAGGTGGGAAAGAGAAAAAAACAGAGTTGATGGGCTAAGCACCCTGCCAGTTCAGAGAGATAATATGTCACTGTCAAGAAAGTGGTGATGAAGACTCCTGGTTGGAACAGTTGACAGTTTCCTGAAAAGGTCACAAAGGCTCTCAGAATGGCAGAACCTCCTGTAAGCCCTCCCTCTCCTCTCCTCAGGCTGTCCATTTATAAAGATTCATATTCCCCGCAGAAATGGAAATGTTGTGATCTTTTATCTTTCAGCTCAAAAGTTAAAACTTTTGAAAAATAAGCTTTTGTGCATTCATTTTGTATTTACTAATGCCTTTTCTTAGACTACAAAGATTCATGTCCCTCTCTTTAGGAACATTTTTCTCAAGTCAAGTGCCACTATCTAATGGCTCAGGGACTCTCTGCCCAAGGGAAACAAAAGTGGTTCATACAATTGTCCATCTCTTAATTTCTCTTTGCTTCCATCATTTCCCTCAGCTTTATACTCTAAATTCCCACAACCAAGAAAAATGTCTATATATACCATCCCAAATGTAAATTGTCTTTTGGTGACATCTTTTCTCTGGAGTTCTGTCTCTGATATTTGTATTCACTTGATTTCACAGAATTATGGAAAAGTCTGGGTCTAGTCATGTCCCCATCACTAGCAGAAACACAGATTACCAAATCTCTCTGGACTTACACTTCCCCATGAGTTGACAAGGGTGTTGAATTAATGAAATCTAAAGTTCGTTTTCTTGAAAGTTCATTATTTAATAATTTTAGCACATAAAGCTAATCCCTAAAGATTGTTTAATAGAATTCTTTGAAAACTCAGTTAAGCCCACTTGCTCATGTAACAGAGCATCCTAAGGAAGTTTCTGCATTTATTTTGCTCTGTCATTCACAGGAGAGAATAGGATGCCAACTTTACAATCTCTTCTCCTGTCTTCTGAAGATGTGATTCTGTCCTCAAGCAGCAGTACAGCACATCAAAGTACCTTCCATCATTATAACTTCAAAGTGTCAGCCTGGCTGAAAAATAATGATCATTACAGAAGATCATTTAAAGGATAAGTGATCTGTTCACTCTTCTGCATTCTAAAAAGGCTGTCTGTGGGATCAGGTCAGACCTCTGGACGGTCACATACATTGACTGTATTATTTCACGTAATGTCTTCATAAGTCACTGTATCTTACAACCTTAGCTTTTATCAAAACCTTATTGCAAGAAATGTTTTTAAAACCATCTGAATTTCAGGAGGATATTTCCCATTGCATTTATTAACATTCTTTATATCAAGTTCATTCATTTAATCAATGTTTGTTAAATATCTTCTATATGCTAGACATTATAATAAGCAAAGGGATAAAGACATCAGCTACACACAAAAATTCATCCTCTCACGGAATCTAAAATTCAAACAGAACAAGACATGGAGGACCCTCTCCCTGGCATGCTGCTCCCCCTAGATCTTCACATGGTTGCCCCCATTTTTCTCAGATCAAAGTCTCCCTCCTCAGGGAAACCTTACCTCCTTCTTCTAAGTAGGTCTCCCACCCTGGGTCTCTCCATTACCTACTGTTTTTAATATGAAGATAAACTAAAACATCTTCTGACTCCTTATAGTCTCTTCAAACATCTTTATTTATGTATTCATACTCACCAATTCCATAAAAATATTAAGACTATTCAATGAGCATTATTAAGGGCCCTTGAAGTGTTTCCTCTAAATCTCTAGTGCAAACATTTTTGAGAAGGGTTGTCAGGACGGTTTGTTATCCTCAAGCATAACTCTGCTTTTTATGTGTCTTGTAACCACATGCAGAAAGGGTTTCTGGCTTCTTTGGCCTCTTTTGTTGTTGTTTTATTTATTTTTTATTATTTTTATTTTTGGCAAAGACTTAAAGAAGGCTTAAAAAAATGGAAGCAGTGAAGAGAAAGGGGAAGATAGAAAGTTAAGAGGCAGCTTAACAGAGAAAGGAAATGTTTATTCCACCAAATCCTCATGTGAATTCTAAATTATTAAATCTCTGAGAACACCTGATTTATGAACAGGATAACACTGCCCCTAGCCAAAATTATTTGTAATAAAAAGCAGGAAATCTCCTGAAGTTCATCTCAGATTTAATATCAAACACAGCAGCCACACCTGAACACTTCTCCATAAAACACGAAAACAGCATGGTGTGATCAGCCAGCAGCCACCAGTGGGGAGTTGGGTACAAACAGGGTGTGAGTGCCATGGAAAGGATCAGGCCTCACTAATCTAGAGAAACCAGCCAATGAAAAATAGCAACAGACTGAAATAATGTCAACACTTGGAAGGGAAAGGAGCACAAGGAAGACTCACTTCTAAATATACAACAGCCAGTTCACATTCCTTGTCAAAATACTGAGCTCCCTCCGTGACGACTGAAGTTGAAAGAGCAACACAATTGTGTTTTGTGTATGCATATTTAGAATATACCAAGTGAGGATGAAGCACCATGGGGAAAAAAAGACTTGTTATGAAATAGGCTTACATTGATGTTGCCTTTTTTTAATTTAATTTAATTTAATTTTTATTATTTTATTTTATTATTATTTTTTAGACAGAGCCTCACTCTTGTCACCCGGGCGGGAGTGCAATGGCACAATCTCGGCTCACTGCAACCTTCACCTCCTGGGTTCAGGCAATTCTTCTGCTTCAGCCTCCCGAGTAGCTGGGATTACAGGCAACTGCCACCACACTCAGCTTATTTTTGTATTTTTAGTAGAGACAGGGTTTCACCATGTTGGCCAGGCTGGTCTCAAGCTCTTGACCTCTGGTGATACGCCCACCTTGGCCTCCCAAAGTGCTAGGATTACAGGCGTGAGCCACCGTGCCTGGCAATATTGCCATTTTGTGAGAAAAGTAGCAAACCTCTAATAAGAATTTCATTAAAATTTGATTCAAATATTTTTCTACAGATACTTGGTTCAAAAAGAAGAAAGATGTCAAGAATGAAAAGGTATCTTATTATTTCTAGTGCAGACTTCTTAGGTAATGTGTTCATTACCATTTTTATAACATATGTAGTGAAGGATTCTTTCTCAGGATTATATATCCAACTATTTGAATACATATATAATAATTAAATTTATTCATGTTTAATCTAAGGCAATTTCGATAATTATCAGAATCATAAAGAAATATTTTTTGCATGTTTTCATTAATACTTCCATTAACATTTTGGCATTTGCTATGTTGTTAAGAAGTATTCTGAAAAGTAGAAAATCATATTAAAAAGTTGCTGTATTAATAGGATTTGGGGGTAAAAAGAACAAAAGACAAAAAGAGGAAGATTAATGTCATTGGTAGGTACTTGGGAAGTTACTTTAATTAGTTAACATTTTTTAAATCTGAAAGAAGAAAAATAAGTCAAGTTAATAAACCATAGTACACAGAAAAATAAATTTTGGACTATAAAAGACTCAGCCATATACATGGACTATATCTTTATATAGAGCAGATTTAATTATGAGAGATAACACTACCAAGATAATTTGAAACACCATGAGCTTTAAATTTAAAAGCACTATACAGATTCTCTTCATCCACTTGAACAGCTAAGAGTAAAAACGACCTCTATGCAAATACAAGTTATACTCAATGTTGACTTATTCAGAGAAAAATAATAATAATTGAGGCTACTTTTCCCTTCAGATTAAAAAAGAGTATTACAAACTTTTAATAAAATTATATAGTAATTGGTTGATATATCTATAAAAAGGCAAGTGGAATAGATTGCCTTGAAATACAACTTAGTATATAACATAAAAATACATTAATTTTATTATTATAATGACAAGTATCAATGTAATATATTGTAAGTATCATAAATATAATATAATAAATAAAAAGTATCATCAATATAATATAATGTAAGTATCATAAACTAAGGAGTAATATGACTATTTGCTAATACTGGGATATTGAGAAAATTGGGGGAAAGTCAAGAGCCTATATTATATCAGGTTTAAAAAAAAAATCCATTCCAGATAAGGTAAAGAGTGGGCTGTAAAAAAGAAACCAGAAAAAACAAACAAACAGAAAATATGGGTGAGATGAAAATGATCTAGGGATGTAAAAATTTGCAGATCATAATAGCAATACAGAAATAAAAAATGATTATTATATCTAACTACAAATTATAGAAACAAAACCACAAGTTTTGTAAGCTGTGATCATAAAGAAAATTGAGTAATGTGAAAAACTGGGACAAACTTTTTACAAATAATATAATAGATAAAGAATCAATACCCATAATATACAAAGAATTCTGATGAATCACCAATATTCATGCTCCAAAATGGTAACCACGTGTAGCTGCTAAAAATGCTGGAAGTATTGAGCCTCACTGGTGATCAAATGAATGCATTTTCAAACCATGAGGTGTAATTTTTGCCTTTCAATTAACCAGGATTTTTTAAAATAATGACACCCAACACTATAAGTATTCTTAGCTATTGCTATTGGGAGAGGAAATTAATATATCCACTTTGGAAAGCAACTTGATAATAGACAGACCATTTTAAAGTTTGTTGCCTTTGACACAGCAATTCTCTTCTAGCAATCTATTCTAAGAGAATAATTGGATATGTAAGGATTTATATATGAAATGTATAATCCAGAATTATTATTATTTTTGCACCAACCTAATACATTAAGAAACATTAGGAATGTTTTCAATGTCCAACAAGAAAATGAGCACAAGAATATTGGCACATCCCCACAAAGAAATATTATACTAGCATTAAAAATGTTCTTAACTAACATCTAGGTGATATACGAAAATATAATAAAATGACATGAAATGAAGACGGTGAGACAGATCTATAGCACATAAGTAGAAAGAGCTGGAGTTGAGCTTGAGATGCAGCAAATCTAAATGGCAGGGCACACTTGGAAGAACCTTCCAGCTGTCAGGGATACAGCAGTAATGATACAGACAAAGCCCTGGCCTTGGGAATCAGACAATAAACAAACAAGTAAATACATTATATAACACCAAAGTTAGGAAGAAAAATGCACATTTACATTTATCTCAAGCAATATAATGCACTACATATATGCACACGCACGCACAAACTGTGGGGGAAACAAAATATCAAAATAATAACAGTGAGTACTTTTATTTGATGTGATTAAGATATTACAGGTGATTTTTAATTTCATCATATTTTTTTGGCATTTTAAATTTGTTTATCTATTATTATTAAAAGAAAGGAGGAAATGCTATATACTGTTACTGAAAATACTTACCACAATCATAAAGTTTTACTTTGACTTCCAATAAGGTACAGAATACATATAAATTTTCCTTTCTTCATTTGACTAAATGGATCATCGACCACAACTACTGGGTAGAGATTTGTGTTCCCGTCATTTAAAAATAGAATAAACAATATGTGTCCATTATGAGAAATACTGAAACAGGATAATCAGGATATCCTGTGTTTCTAAGTGCGCATAGATCAGAGGCAGGGAGTGGAGGAGGCAGGGTTAAGCAGGGAGGGAATTCCACCCAGGTATTGCTATAGAAATGGCAGCAATAGAGCAGAACTAGCACTATCTTTTAGAGAACAGGAAATACCTGCCCTGCCTAGTCACAGACTTGCATCATAAACTCAATGGTTTGAAAAGCACCTATGTATTCAAACTGAAGATTTCTCCCTTGCTGCAGTTCAGAGTCCACGTTGTGACTTGGCATAAAGACAAACAATTCCGCAGCTCAGAGAAAGACATCATTGAGTTCAATTTCTAGTGGCTTTCCCCCAACATTTGCCACTTGATCACTTCTCCTTGGCAAGAGGACACTGCACTGTGAGGAATAAATAGCTAAACACTTACATACATTTAAAACACATTTAACCTTTTTCCACAAGACCCAGAGCAGCTAGCGAATAGTACCTTAAAATCATGACCTCCACTTGCTGTCTATCTCCCTCGTTTCTTTTTGTCATTTTCTGGCTGAAAACAAAGTTAATCTTCTTTTCTATTTCAATTTCTCTTTTACTTGCCTCAGGCCAGAATATAGAAAGTGAGACTTTGTTTGACAATATCAATAACAGAAAAATTAAATATTGCCTCCACAAATGATATTTAACCTATTTTAAGAGCCAGTGTATCTGTAAAGATGTTAAAGACAATAAAAAGCAGCTATTTCCTTATAATATTCTAACATTTCAGCATTTCCTAATTGTAAACTTTCTATTTTAATCTTCTAACCAAATGACCTTCAGTAAACGACCTGAAATGGATTAACTTACTTCAACTAGCCTAGCACCCTCTTTCATTATCTATTTGACTAACAGCTTTAGAAAGTCAAATGCAGGCAAATTTTAATGCTCTGACACATTTTTAAAAGCAGTTTTGTTCTATTCTCAAATGACATAGAGGTCACTTCTAATGATTACATTTCCCCCAGCTAATTTCAAGGCTAAAATCTTGCCATAGCCATCTTTCTTAGATTTCTATTCAACAACACTAAGCATTTGGAAAGAGTACTAGAAAAGGATCAGGATTTTAACTTATAAATATAGACAAATTAATCCATCTCTGTGGCTTCTATTTCGTTAGCTTCACAATAAAAGGGTTGTGAATTTTGATGGTTCCTCCCCTCCTAACTCTAACATCACAGGCTTTGACAATTTATTTTCTCAAGGTCAAATTAATTGTGGTTTTAATTATGACAATGAGTCCAATACACTAAGCCAAGTCAATGTGTGAATAGAAGAAGGTAACCAAGTAGAGAACTCTTTGTACACACGGGTAATATGATAATTGAAACCATTTTGAAATGTAGAGACATTACTATAATAAATCCTTTGCTATCTATCTCTTAGAGAACGGCCATGACCATAGACTATCAGGGAGGAAGAAGAAATAGCATCATGAAAAGCCAATAGAAGAGATTCTTCGGAAGAGGTGGGACTTGGGATACCAAGAAAAGCATTGTGCAAGGGGCAGTCTCCCAGGACCTAGAAATGACTTTGCTCATAAAATCATACATTCTATTCTTTAATATCTCATTTTGTGTTATATGGCTATGTATTATAAGCTCTAGTTTTTACATATTTTGGCCTATTTTAATGCTATGCCATGAACTTGATATCATGAACTATTTTTCATATAGTATTGTACAGCTTGATATATAAAACAGTGGCCTTTGTATTTGATCACTGCATTCTCAATAATATGTATCAGTACGGGTTATTGTTTAAGCTTTTGTCACAGCAAGATGTATTTCTTCCACTTCTATAATTTTAAGAGAAAGCATATAAGAAAGGGAAAGAAAGATAATATGGTACAGCACTAAATAGCCAGGAAAACCATGTGATTTAAAAAACTATGAGCCTGTCTCCTTAGAAAAACAATTATAAAAATATTGTATGTTCTTGAAAAACAACCTCCAGCATTGGAGATTAGAAATGCTTCAACTCTGAGACTGAGATAATTGTCATTTCCCATGGCCGGGTGTTTCAAGTAAGAGTGTCTTTTCCCTCGTGAGAATGGGTTTTCTCAAAGCCAACAGTCAAGCAGTACAGAAGAAAAGAAACAGCTTCCCCATGTCCACAAATCCTGATCTGATAGTCCCTATGGGTGACAAATGAACTAATGACATGATGTTTAATACCAATAAAAAGCATACCATTAAATAAGTATCTACTATGAGCAAAGCATTGTCAGACACAGCCATAAATTATATCTAATTCTCACAACGATCTTAAGGTAAGCATTAGAATACCCACTTAGGTGGGAAAAGGAATGAATTAATGCAGACTTTTGAAAGTCATGACAAGGATCGCTCCCTCTCTTTCTTTATGTATGCAGCATATTAGAAATATATAAATGCAATCCTAACTAAATTATGGGGAATGTCTAATACTGAAATGTAGCAGACCCATCAGAAAAGATTCCTCTCATATAATTGCATCTATGGATACTTATGGGCAATCCCATATGTCTATGCTCTTGAGAAAAATAATGAATCACATAATAAAAGACTAATATAAACCTTCTGGACCACAGAGGCTACAGACCATTTTATATCTTCTGTGGGCATATATAATAAAAGTAGTAAATAGGATTAGGGATTCATCATTATACCACATTAATGGCACCCTTAACAAGCATTTTTAAAATCTATATTTTTCCTGGTACACTCCTTATATCACAAGACACTCTACTTAAGGTGATCCCTTAAGTAGAATTCAATTCTATAGGTTGGATATGATCCTAGATCTTCAGATGTAATAACTAAGTTTCCATTTTGAAGGGGTGCCAGTTTGGACTCATTTCCTCCATTTACCCATTCAAACTTTTTAACATTTTCTGAGACAACTGAGGAAACTTTGGTCCTGCCTAATCTCCTAACCATCATGGGATCTGGAAAATGGCCATAGCATCCCTTTCTCTTGATTCATGTTCTTGACACTTTTTCTAAAGTGTCCCTAAGACAGATATTCTGTTTACATTTCCACCCTTCAGCCATGCTCCCATAGTCATGTACTCTCCTTGTCAAACTAGGTACTCGTGTGTCATCGACAAGAATCATAGAACATACTAGAGTTGAAGGGAGACTCAGAATTTGCTACTCCACCATTTCTTTTTTGCAGCCGATAACCCAGAGGCTCAGAGAGGACAAAAGATGTAGCTAAGGACATAAAATCAAATATTTACAAAACAAGAGCTAAAACTGTAGCCACCTGACTCCAAGTGCAGAGCTACCTTCACAACACCAGTGTGATGCTCACTGTGCCTGGAAGTGCCAGTTGTCCCCAGGCTGACTCATATCCTGCACTGGCATTGCTATTTTACTCTCTTCCTTATACCTGCCCTTCACTTAGAATACGAAATGAGTAAAATCAGATCTTTAATACACCTTATTTAAAATATTTAGAAACTCTGACCTAAGATTTCTATTTGACCTTACCACACTTATAAGAAAAAGGAAAATCTAACTAAGGACTTCCTTTACCTTAAAAGTACGTGACACCTTCTTCCCTCCCCACCCCAATAAAATAGGCCTGTGGTGTAAGGCATGCTTCCCTACATTTGTTCTCATATATTCAGTAATCTAAAAAGATAACTATAATATTTTAGAACTAGAAACATATTTAGGCATTAGTGTGTCATTTTTTCAACCTGAATATCCCCTAAATTGTGGCTAAACAATAATCCTTTTTATCTCTATTTTGAGAATTCCAATGCCTAACCAAATTCTCATTTCAATGCTTTTGAAATATAAATTTAATTTTAAAATGAACTATATTCTTATTTAATTAAATCCCATTTGTTCTTCCATTGTCAGGGAAAATAAATGATAGTATCTTTTTCATTAAAAAAAGATAGCTCTATATTTTTGCATAGTACGTAAACACTATGCTGATGCATCCTTTTCCTCTAAGCAGTTTAATCCATATCTTTGGACTTGGACAGTGTGGAGATTATGGTGCTGTTTGCCATAATTTCTGCCACATGATTTATCATATTGTCTGACTTTAGCAATGATGCAGGTGTATGAGGCAATTAACAGAGTTACTTGCTTTTATTAAAAAGCAAAATAAACATGCAAAATAAAACTAAAACATATCTTCATGGACTATAAATTTTTAAAAACTGCATATGTGTCACAAGAGGAAAATCCACTAAAATTGTCATAAAGTTAATTGTCTCCAAGCACTGCTTCCCATAGATTCAAAACTTGCAACAGTTTTCCCACCCTCCATCCCACCATTGGCTACTGGATAAGATGCAAAATTCTTATAGTAGAGTCTAAGAGTTGCTGTATCCCCTTATCCACATCCTACTACTATCTTGATTTTGACTCCTCTTCACAATCCTTTCCTTTAGTCAAAACAGTCTACATACTATTCCCTAAAACCAAGAATTCTTCTATGGCTGTATGTATGCTCACCCGCTGCCCGAGACATCTTCACTTCTCTGTTCTACTCTTCTAGGTTCTACTCTTCCTCCAACTTTCTTTTCCATAGCAAAATTACTTCCTTAGCCATTCACCTTGTACCCTCATGGATCAGCTTTGTTTTCCCAAAAACCAGCTGTCGCGTTAGAAAGAGTATGAGCTCTAGAACCAGGCAAACATGGATTGCAATTCTGGTCTTCTCATTGGCTAACTACATGGGCATGAGAAATTACTTCACTACTCTGAACTTCAGCTTTCTACAGCGCAGAATGAAGATAATATACATCATGTTATTAAAAGTAATCTGAGGTGCTACTTTTACGCTGCAATCAATCTACTTGTCAGAAAGCAGATACTGTTTGTATTTTTAATAATGGGCTTATATTTTTAAATTAAGCAAAAATGCATAAAAATTATCTGGGAGTGGACTTGTATTTGTATTCTTCTGTTTTGTATCAACAGAATAGCTCCTTTTCTAGAAAAAGTAAAAATAAAATATTAAAATACATGATGCCAGCCACTCAGATCAAGATCTTGTTTGTCAGATTTCGTAAAGGAGTTTCTTGGTAAGACAGTAAACCTAAAAATAGGTGACTTCAGTAGAAACGCAAACAGTCCATCCATTATATCAGCACAACCAGCCAACAGTGACGATGACAATAGGGGTGTGAGCATACAAATATTTGGTTAAGAAGAAAAAAAAAAATCTGCCAGGAAGTCATTCTGATTACGATGTGTGAGCATATTGTCACCTGAGGGAGGTTAGTAGACTATAAAATAAATAGCGATTCCCATCATCTTCTGAACCTTTTAACTACTAATAATTGGGCACTTTGCTGATGATGCAGAACAACCTTTCAAGCTGATTAATAGGTCATGTATGTGAAAAGGCACTCCCTATTCATAAAACAATTATGCTAATCCTCTAATTTTTTCAAAGATTATAAAATATTCTAATCTTTGAAGAATATAGGTTTTGGTTGCAGATGGTGTTTGTATATTACTTGCAGAGCTCATTAACATTTTTGAATTTCACATATTTTATCCTCACAACCCCATGAGAACTATAATATAGGGATTATCATCTTCCATTTAAAACTGGTAAACAAAGATTCGGAAGCAATTTAGAGGTCTCTCCAAGGTCAAACAGCTAGTTAAAAAGAGACAGGATTAGAATTTTGATTTCCTGAACCAGTGCTATTTTCAAAGACTCAGCAAGTAGATGTTTCTATAGTTCATATAAGTAAAGAAAATATTTTTTTCACTGGAAAGTCTCAACTTCATTTGGTTCATTTTAGATGTTTACATTGGTAATACAGTTTTAGCTTGTGTCTATCCAAATTCAAAAGTTGCTCATTTTCCTGAGTAGATCAATAATCTAAGTCAGTGTTTGAATGTGACTAGAATAAAGTTATCAAAATGATTTCAGTGCATGGTGTGTGTAAATATAATAACCTGAATGCATCTTGTCTCTACCCTTAGTGAACTACATGTGACATTATGCTATTTCAGTGAGAATCTTAAACAACATTGCATCTGCATGAATGCCCAGACAGCACCAGGCCTTGGACTAGATTTTAGTTGTCTAAGAAGTTTTTCACCAAGTATGACACAGAATGTAAGCTTTATTTGTGAACCTCATTTTGGTCACAATCACCTAACTTTCAAATCCAGACATATAGAAAAGAACAAAGGTAGCTTACGTGCATAAATAAGAATATGAATGAGGGGTGCTATGTAAGTGTGGACTGAAAAGCTGGAGACAATATAATGGCTGACTTAATGCTTCTGATTATGGAAGGTATTTCTTTTCAGATAACAGGGTTCCAACTCTGGAATCTCTGGTGT
Source organism: Homo sapiens (assembly GCF_000001405.40). Lineage (NCBI taxonomy): Eukaryota > Metazoa > Chordata > Mammalia > Primates > Hominidae > Homo > Homo sapiens. Next base: position 138,205,884 of record NC_000004.12, read on the forward strand.
ACTTTATTTAACTCTCATTTTGGTTGTTATCTATTGCAGTCAAAATATTTGACCCATCTTTTATGCCAGCTAACCAAAAATTTATCTAGGCTTGAAATAGTCATAGCAATTAGCAGGTTGCTAACCAGCATAAGGAAGTAAAAAAGGCTGATAGCCCAGTTCAAGGAAGTTATATTAACAGTGAGTTTCTCAATTTATCATACATGAATTATTGCTGTGTAAAGGTATTATAGAGAAGATCTCTGCATCTGGTTAAAAAGGATTAGATGGTCTTCAAGGTCCCCTCTAATTTTGAAATTCTGTGATTCTATTATTCTACTCATCACACCACTTGTATTCTCTCTCTCTCTGTCTCTCTCTCTCCCTCTCCCTCTCTCTCCCTCCCTCCCTCTCTCTCAGCTAAAGGGAACAAAAAGATAGGATAAAATTAAACCAGCCACTGTTGTTGCTCCTAAAACAAGAGTTTATTGTTCTCAAAATATAAAACTCAATGAGATTTATATATATATATATATATAGCCTCAAAAGATTTATATATATTGCCTCAAAATATAAAACTCAATGAGATTAAAATTAGAACTTTCAAACAACTATTATGAAAGAAAGTAAAGCATCGCCCTTCAAATTTTGCCTCATAGTGGAATTGGAATCCTTACAATTAAAAAAAGAAAGAAAGAAAAGCTAAATAGCTTCCACAAAGCACTTGAAGGATTAATATCTGTCTTCTTTGATTACCCCATGATAAAATATTATAATATAATCCTATAATTTCTGCACCACTTATTTGACACTTCAGCCTTATATGAACAAACTATCTTTGGGCAAAATGTATTTTTTATGCATATGTGATGCCGAGAAATGCAAGAATTTTGATCCCAAGGTACATCAACCACATGTTCTATTAGTGCGAAATTTTTAGAGTGAACAAAAGCAAGGAAGAGCAATTTGGTGACCTTGTTCTTTGAACACAGAATCATCTCTTCTCTGTGACATCTGGCCAAATACCGATCTTTTGTCTGCCTCAGTGGCTCAACTAGCACAATTCTATTTCTACTGTGAAACATATTTAAAAATGGATTAATCAAGCTTTATGTATATTTTCTAAAGAAAAGCAAAAAAAAAAAAAAAACCCCCAGAGGGATTCTAATTTAGGTATCAATTATTTCAACAATTGAAGAAAAGCAGTGTCACATTTTAAGATAATTCTAATGATGTCATATTGTCATTAGTAAAAAGATGCCTCATTTTGCCACAGGGAATATCTTTATAAACTTGTAAATAAATTAATACATATCTTAAAAACATATAACTTGAGTATTTGTAGTAGAAACTTTGGAAATATTCTTTAAAGTAATATTTAATGTTGTCTAAGAATGTAGATAACATTGACTTGTAATAAAAAGATTACAAAATACAATATTGCTGTAATCTGCACATATACAGTTACAATATTATATGTTATTTTCTAGCGACTATTAAGTTAGAAAACTAAATGCATATAAAGAGGAATATTTGTCTCTCATGGAAAGATGCATTCTTGGCTAGGTGTGGTGGCTCACACCTGTAATCCCAGCACTTTGGGAGGCTGAGGCAGGTGGATCACTTGAGATCAGGAGTTCAAGAACAGCCTGATCAACATGGTGAAACCCCATTTCTACTAAAAATACAAAAATTAGCTGGGCATAGTGGCACATGCTTGTAATTCCAGCTACTTGGGAGGCTGAGGCATGAGAATCACTTGAACCTGGGAGGTGGAGTTGCAGTGAGCCAAGATCACATCACTGCACTCCAGCCTGGGCAGCACAGTAAGTGAGACTCCGTCTCAAAAAATAAAAGGAGAAAGAAAGCAAGCCGCATTCCCAAGTTGTCAAAATGCAAGATAAAAGGCTTCAATTAACCTTTATTCTTTAGTCATGTAACTTTGCTACAACACATTTGGGCAAGATATTTTGCCTATTTTGTTTTCTTATGTTTTTTACTCAGGTAACGGTTATAAAACTGTCCTACAAGCAATAGGCCTTATAAAACAGTATTGTAAAGAATTACACAGTCAATAAGGAATTAATACAGATACACTAAGATTTTAAGACGGCAGCATCTGAACTGAATGCAAATAACATGATTGTGGACCATTTGTAGACCAATCTGGTTGATCACACTGCCTTAAAGGTCTTTGGGCATTTTTCCCAAACCAAGTTTCACTTCTTCGAGGTTTTCATTGGTACAAGGTGTGATGACTTTGAGGCATCAATTAATATAAACTGGAAGTAGGCAAAGTATTAATTAAACATGACACTCTGATTATTTAAACCTTCTATTAAAGTTGATTATTCAGAGCGTGTTGATAGCCTGTTTTTCAAAAATGACTGATGATATCAAGGTTTACTGACTTCCTCTAAGTCTACTATTTCCAGCTCTTCAAAACAGAAGGAATAAATGAAGTGAGAAGAACACTGGAATAAGGCTAATAGACAAAGTGGCTAATCTCAGACCCCCAAGGTCAAAGAAAAGCAATTCATTTCTTGGCTTTCATCAACACAAGATATGATTTATCAATCTAAGAGCAGGATTACAAACATTATACATCTCAATGATATGTTCTTTGCACTGTGTAACTTTTTGAACAATGACAGATTGCATAGTCACCACAAAAGTCATGTCATAAGGCAAAATTCATTACACTTGCACAAGCACTAGGATTTTTTAAAACAAATGTACACAGTAGCAATTATTACTACTATATATATGCCATTTTTGGGGGGAAAGCCTTTTAAAATTCAGTTATTCCTTGGGATTCTATCATCTTCATGGTCCAAACTTTGGACATTCATGTCCCTCAAAATACAATCCTTACTCCAATATATTAATTTGTGGAGTCAGCCATAATGTTATAGATAATTGGTAAAGGCAATACTCTTATTATAAAAGTTCAATAGCAATTGTTGTATTTGAAAGATTGCTACTTCCATAAATTCAAAGCTATTCTTGGAGAAGAAAACATTGTAAGAAAGATCATGGCAAAATTTCTTAACATTATAAATGTAATCACACAAACAGAAATTTTGCCCACCTTTGTCTCTCATTCGATACAACACTTAAGGAACTGTCCTATACCACCTACTTATAATAGCAGCTCAAAAGTTATTTCTTGGAGTAATGGTAGATAATTTGAAAGATGTCTCAAAATGAAATTACACCTAAAGTGTAGTCAATTGAGATCATGGAAACTTACTCTGAATTCTATATATTTTAATACACATTGGTATTTTCACTAATCTAAATTAATTATCATCTTTCTATTAGGTCACAAATTTAGGAAAATTTTATTGTCTAGGTGGAGGAAGACCATAAAGGGTGTTGTATTTTCAGCAGATGATTCATTTCACCAGCTGCCAGAAAGTTGCATGTTGCCGCACACCTGGACACATGTATCCATGACTGATTGGGAAACACATTTATCTTGGCACATCACAAAGAAGATGGAATCATAATTATTCTCCCTTGTAACTAAAGGTATTTTGAAGCTGTATCTACCTAAAAAATAATGCAAATTACACATCTGGGCTAAGTCCACATAATTTTACCATCTGTGTTTGATATTCACCCATCAATATTTCTGGAAGCATTTTCTGTGTTTAAAACAACTTCAGTAAAGTTTCAAGATACAAAAACCAATGTACAAAAATCAGTAGCATATCTATACACTGATAACATTCAAGCTGAGGGCCAAATCAAGAATGCAATCCCATTTACAACAGCCACACAAATGACAACAAAAAATACCTAGAAATACATCTAACCAAGGAAGTGAAAGATCTCTGCAAGGAGAGCTATAAAACATTGTTGAAAGAAAACATAGATAACACAAACAAACGAAAAAATATTTCATGCTTATGGATTAAAAGACTCAATCTCATTAAAATGGCAGTACTGCCCAAAGCAATATACAGGTTCAATGCTATTCCTATCAAACTACCAACACCATTGTTCACATAATTAGATAAAACTATTCTAAAATGCATATGAAACCAAAAAAGAGCCTAAATAGGCAAAGCAACCCCAAACAAAAAGAACAAACCCAGAGGCATCACATTACTTGACCTCAAACCATACTATAGGGTTACAGTAACCCAAACAGAATGATACAGGTACAAAAGCAGACAAATAAACTAATGGAACAGGTTAAAGAACCCAGAAATAAAGTCACACACCTACAACCATATGATCTCCAACAAAGTCAACAACAATAAGCAACAGGGAAAGGATTCCCTATTCAATAAATGGTATACCTGGATAACCAGCCAGCCTCATGCAGAAGGATGAAACTGGACCCCTATCTTTGATCACATACAAAACTTAACAAGATGAATTAAATATTTCAATGTAAAACCTCAAACTCTAAAAACCCAAGAAGAAAACCTAGGAAGTACCACTACAGACATTGGCCTTGGGAGAGAATTTATGACTAAGTTCTCAGAAGCAATTGCAACAAAAACAAAAATTGACAAGTGGGACCTCATTAAACTAAAGAGCTTCTGCACAGGAAAAGAAACTATCAACAGAGTAAACAGACAACCTACAGAATTAAAGACATTACTCACAAACTATGTATCTGACAAAAGTTTAATATCCAAAATCTATAAAGAACTTAAACAATTCAACAAGCAAAAACCAAATAATCCTATTAAAAAGTGGATGAAAGACATGAAGAGACACTTCTCAAAAGAAGACATACAAATGGCCAGCAAACATATGAAAAAATGTTCAACATCACTAATCATCAGAAAAATGCAAATCAAAACTACAATGAGATAGCATCTCGCATCAGTCAGAAGGGCTATTATTAGAAAGTCAAAAAATAACAGATGTTGGCAAGGCTGTGGAGAAAAGGGAATGCTTATACACTGTTGGTGGGAATGTAAATTAGTTCAGCCTCTGTGGAAAGAAGTTGCGAGATTTCTCAAAGAACTTATAGCAGAACTACTATTTGACTCAGCAATTCCATTATTGGTTATATATCCAGAGGAAAATAAGTAATTCTATGAAAAAGACACATGCACTCATAAGTTTATTGCAGCACTATTCACAATAGCAAAGACATGGAATCAACTTTAGTTCCCATCAAAAGTGGGTTGGATAAAGAAAATGTGGTACATATACATGTACTATGCAGCCATAAAAAAGAATGATATCATGTCCTTTACAGCAACATGGATGCAGCTGGTGGCCATTATCCTATGCAAATTAACAGAGAAACAGAAAACCAAATACTGCATGTTCTCACTTATAATTGGGAGGTAAACATTGGGTACTCATGAACACATAGACGGGAACAATAAATACTGGGGACTACTAGAGTAAGGACGGCAAGAGTGGGGCAAAAGCTGAAAAACTACCTACTGGGTACTATGCCCCATACCCAACAGTAACAGGATAATTCATACCCCAAACCTCAGCATCATGCAATATATCCATATAACAAATAAAAAAACTTTTATTTTAAATTCAGGGGCCACACATGTACCCCCTGAATCTAAAATTCACTGTTAGTGGGAATGTAAATTAGTACAGACAATATGGAGAACAATATGGAGGCTCTCAAACCACTAAAAATAGAACTTCCATATGATCCAGCAATCCTACTGCTGGGTATATATCCAGAAGAAAGGAAATCGGTATACTGAAGAGATACCTGCTTTCTCATGTTTATTGCAGCACTATTCAAAATAGCCAAAATATGGAATCAATCTAAGAGTCCATCCATGGATAAGTGGATACAGAAAATATATATAAACACACACTAGAATACTATTCATTCAATAAAAGAATGAAATCCTCAGTTATTTGAAGCAACATAGATTAACCTGGAGGACATTATATTAAGTGAAGTAAGCCATGCACAGAAAGACAAATATTGTATGTTTTCACTCACGTGTGAGCTAAAAAAAAGTTGACCCTATGGAGGTAGAGTAAAATGATGGTTACCTAGGTTATAAAGTATAAGGAGAAAGTAATGAAGATAAGTTGGTTATTGAAAACAAAAATGCAGTTAGATAAAACATGTTCTAGTGTTCAGTGGCATAGTAAAGTAACCGTAGTTATCAAAAACATAGTATATTTTAAATTAGCTAAAAGAGAAATTTGCAATATTCTCAACACAAAAAAAGATACATGTTTGAGGTGATGAGTACCCAATTATCCTGATTTGATCATTACACATCGTATGCATGCATCGAGATAGCATAGATATCCCATAAAGATATTTTATGGATCAAGAATGCATAATAGAGATCAAAAATGCATATGAGGTTTGACACTAAAAGTTTAGAAAGTAAGCTTCAAAATGGTGTAATTTTTCACATTTCTTTCAAAAGCTCTGAAGAAAAATAATTGCTTGGAATATTGAATTCTAGAAAACACTATTCTGTGAATAACATTTACCTTGCTCTAATAAAGTATATAACAGTAATAGTAGTAATGACAACCAAACAATTATGTAGAAATTAAAAAGTGACAGTCACTAATCTAAAGCACTTTATGCATATTAATTCATCAACACAACCCAGTGAAGTATGTGTTATTATTATTTCCATTTTTTAGATAAGGGAATTTCTTTGCAACAGAAAAAAAAAAAACACTGAATCAATACATCACCATCACTGTTCCTTAGTATCTGTGTGCACTAAATCATGGACATTATCAGTAGTGTGCAACTAAGGCCCTTTAATTTAAGAAGAGAAGGAGACAATCCTTAATTGGAACACAGTTTAGTAGAATACATCAGAAATTTGGGTTGAGGTAATAACGGCATAACTAGCTTCAAGATATGCTTAATATACACAATAGTATTACTATATATGTGTCAAACAAAAATCACACTTAAACTGTTAAATAATATTAAAGATAATATGAATTATATCTACACCACTGATGAATCATATAATAAATGTTATGTTATAGGTCTTGTCTGCAACCCTACAATTTGCCATTTGCTTATAAAAATATTCTCATGTTAAATTCTAGTAATTGATGTCTTTAAAATGTCTTTAGACTTAACATACATAGTTACGAACCATAGTAATTTATTTCCCGTAATAGAAATTCAATACATATTTTATATTATATCCAGTACTAACTGTCTTTTCTCTATGCTGGTGCTTACATACAAGTTATTCTCAAAAACTAAAAAGGCAGGCCAACCTATTTATCTCTGTAATCAATGGGTTTACAGTCGTAAGGTAGCTTGTCATTTCCAAGTAACGCTTAGAAAGAACTAGCTCTTGGTAAATATGTGTTCTCGACCTACAATTCCAGTTATAGATATGACAATATTGGCATAAATTGGTCATATTTCTTAATAAAATGGCCTTTCACATGTTTAAATTACATATTGATTTGCATAGCAGTTGAATCAGATACCAATTGCTGGCTTATGTGTTCTAAACTCCGACATTCCTGGTACTTGGCCAGATCTCATCAGTTTACCATTTCCCAAGATACCAGGTGCCAGAATTTCCTAGTCTATCTTAGTGTGAATTGTCAACCCTTAGGTATATTCTTTGATGTCCAGGCTATTTCATACTGATGCACCTTTGTACTTGTTCTTTTTCCTAGAAATCAGTGTGTGTTTGTTTGTGTTTGTGTTTCTCCTCTCTCTCTCTATCTCTCTCTCTCTCTCCTCCCATACCCCTCTTCTCTCTCATTTATATTTACCTAAGGAACACCTACTCATCATTTGAGACACTATTATAAACAACATCTCCCTAGATACACAAGTATTTCCTTCTTTCCTTTTTGCCAAACTGGATAAATAATCTATTTTGGTACCAATCACACTGTTACATCTATTTGTTTACACATTTGACTCATTGACTAGTCAATAAAATACTTCAAGACAAGTCTTATGCATCATGAAAGCTGTTCCCAGCACAATGATTGGAACATAGCAGATGTTCAATAAAGTAAAATGAATTAAATAACTTTATAATTTAGTCTACATTTTATACTATACTACAGTTCCTACATTTTCCCTCTTTTGCCCATGAATTATTTTTTCCTGTAGCAAATCCAATGTTTATGAACAAATTATAAGAATAATTCATTTTTCCCTAAGTTAGTTCATTTTGAAAATATTACATAAATCATCATCAAATCATCTACTTATCAAGTTGTTACCTAGAAAGAAAGAGTAAAACTTATCCAGCTCCCCAAATTTATAAGGTCCTATAACATTCTGCAGGTATTTCTAGGCTTTTGTAACTAGTCGTCTATTAATTACATTACTCACTTTAATTCGATAGTTATGAAAAAAGATTACATGAATTGTTAGAAATAATTAACTTTTTGAGTTCAAGCTATCCCGTGGGTAGTTTAGAGTCCGTATTAAGTTATATGTATGTGTTTATATGGGATAGGCTACCTAAAATATAACTTTATTATTTCCTATTTTCAGGTTAAAAGACAACTTAGTATTGAATGTAGACTATATAATTAAGCTATTTGTATATAATTATAAATATAATTATGTATATAATTTATGATAAAGTCAAATAAATCTTATCTAAGAGAATTATAGTGATGATGATGACGATGTTAAGGTTGACTAGCCCACACTGAATTCCTTCTTCAAGTCTGCTTTTTAAACTATGTAATCTTAAATTTTATTCTTCATAAAAATTTCAGGGTACATCTGGCTACTTACTTTTCAGGGTTTTCTACTTCTTCAGTAACAAAGTTGAGGTAAAACCTAAAAATAGATAAATAAATTATAAACTATTAATATATTTTACCATTATCCAAAGTCTCAAATTTTAAATATTTAACATTGAACCCAGAATTATGAAAACTATAACAATACTTATAGTAAGATGAAAATATCTAACAACTAAATACTCCCATAAGTCATTTTTCTATTAAGCCATATTTGTGGAGTTTTTATCATGTGTCAGAAATATACAAGTGGTAAGCCCATAGTCTTAAGGAGCTCATAGCTCATAGAATGTCCCACAGAATAGTGTGATACAGTGCAGGTCCAATACTGGAGCAAGCACGTGGGAGCCAGAGGGCAGGTCTAGCCCAACCTGGTAGGTCAAAGGGGGTTTTCTAGAGGAGGCATCACCCAACTTGAACCTTTAAGAACTGCTTTATCTTACCCTGGTGAGGTGGTGTGAGGCCATTCCAGACTGAGAATAGCACACGAGCACAAAAGTGTGGCAGAGGGGTTAGGCACAGGAAAATGAGCACCCGTACACTGCAGTACAAGTGTGACAGAGGGATTACTATAGAAAGAGCCAAACATATGAAGGCAAAGACTTTTCTACCTTTTCCTTTTCTATGCTTAGAAAATTTTTGTGAAATAAAAAAAATCATATATTCAATATAATCTTCCATTATCTTATTATTATTAAAAGTAACCTTTTACATAGGTATGCAGGAGCACAGATTCATAGGTACAAATTCTCTAAAATCGAAAATCAAGTGGCTGGAATATAAGTCCATCAGCTCTTAATATACTTTAAGTATCTCACCAGCTAAAACAAAGATGAAGAAACCTGTCTTGCTCCATCTTTATAAAACCACCTAAATTCACAAGTAGTCAGTTGATGTTCAAGGTTAAAGTGTCTACAATTTTAAGGACTGTTTTAAGTAGAAATAATTGAGGAGCTGACAGAACAGTAGCAGTAACGGTGATCTAAAAAGTCAGCAACCAAAGATTTTTCTAATGACTAGAAAATAAGTTTCTATAAATAGAGATTGTAGTTACACCATGAAAGCAAGCAACAATCAGTACTTATATCTGCAATATGCACTCCAAGAGGGGTTTGATGTGTTTGCTATAAGCCTGAGGCAATGGGAAGTAGGGAAAGAAAAAAGAAAAAAAAACACATGCACACTAAAAAACAAACACCACCACCAATGAAAAATCACACACCCCAAGAAATATTTTTAGGCTTCTCATGTCAAAAATAGCCAGTTCCTTCCTAACAGTTGTTTTAGAAAGTAGTCTTTTCCCACAATGTTAAAGCAAGAAAGAAAATATTTATGAAAAATAGAACACAATTTCAAATATTTGCCACAGCTCCAGGGAGTAGAGAAAAGGAAAGGGCTTGGAGCAGGATGGTGAGTAGGAAGGAGAAAGCTTCTTGTTTTAGTCCAAACATTCACACATCCTGTGGGAAATCCACCTTTACGTTCTAGTCTCCAGGAATGACCATGATATTCTCTTTGGTTTACAACACTTCAAGGACTCTAGCGAATGCTCATAAGATCTATTGTTCCAGCTTTTCCATGATTGTGCATAAAAGGTACTGCAATGCTAGCAATGCATTCCAATACCCAACTATGTGAATTATTTTTAAAAGAAGCTTATTCTTTAGATTAGATTTGACACAACAGTACAAAATAATCCCAGCAAGTGCTTTAGAAAGACTAAATCCATAGAGGGGGATAGGATTTAAAAGGAAGAGAAAAAGACACTAAAAACGATTTTCTATCACACAATTGAAAAAAAAGAAAACCCTACCAAGCAATGTTTAGCTTTGGATCAGGATATGGGACTGAGTTCCCCAGGGCCACAAGGGGGACTGGCAGATGTATTTCTCTGAACGCAGACATTGGCAATGTTATTAACATTGTTCCGACCCAACTGTGTGACCTGACTGGGTTAATGATTTCTTTTCCCCTACTCAAGTTTCTGTGAAGTAGCTTTATCATTCTAGAAAGTTTCAGCATTCCTCAGAGACAAAAACCTCCACTATTCATATCCCCACCCTGGGCTTGGTGGTATCTTTTTCCTTGCTAGCAGAGCAAGGTCTCCAGGACAACAATGGTCTTGCAGCTTTTACTTACAGGCTAACAGGCTGGGCGGTAAGCTCTGATGACAATAGCTGTTTTGCTTCTGACTTACTCATTTTCAATGCCCTTTTATTAGGGGGGTATCAAACATTGTCATAGCAGCAGCATAGGGAGTGGAGAATCATTTACACTTACCCACTGATAATTCTACAACCCAGTCTTGTAATTATATCTTGAAAGCGAGAGAAAGGTCAGAAAGGCGAGATCACATTTGGCAAGTGAATAAATGCCCCTCTCTTTGGAATTCTTTTAGCCTCCATCTTGTTTCATTTACATCCAGATAATAACTTTTCCTCTAGAACCCCACACCAACAGACTATATTTTTTCTAAACACAGCTTCCTTTTTCTAAGACTGATGACCATAGATTAACAGCCAGATTATTTCTGCGTCTTCACAAAGCAGCATTCAGGTAGCACAACAACCTGTTATAGAAACACGGTTACTTATCTGTCCCCTACATAAGCCACTTGTATCAGATAACATTCCATTTTAAATCCTGGACTTATTTTCCAATACTGTGATTGAACCCTCAAGGATATAAAGAAATCAATGGTTTTTGGTCTTTCAAATAGGGAGTAGACATGAGGATTATATGGGTAAAAGTATTAAAAAAGATTCATGTAAACCCCTTTTACCTTGTAATCAGAGAAACATTTTGGGGTCAGCATCAATAAAGTTAAATATTAGTACAATAATTCAAAATGAAAAGGGTCTTCATCCATGGAGAAATTCATCAGCCCTCAAAAGCCTACATAAGCGGAGAAATTTTGCTCTACATAAAGCAAGTGACCTGAATTTTTAGTTCTGGGTATTAGAAAAGTGAGGAGGGTAAAAGAATATTTTAAGATGGCATGGGAACAGATCTATCGTACTCTCAGGCAAAAGAAATTTCATTCAACAGAATTAATCAAACCTCCCTTGTGACTATCTTCACATTCCACACTCGTGGTTGCATATTGCCCGGCTCCCAACACTTGGCTGTAGCTGAAAGCTTTCTCTACCTCCCCGCTTTGCTCTGGTGTCTCCCAGTGACCCTCCCAGTAGCTTGGCTTCAGCCCCAGGGCACAGAGCTCTGATCCAGGCTGAATAGCCATAGAACAGTTGATTCTGCTTTAACCCTGTGATCACGCTCAGTTCTTTTGATGTCTAGCACCACATTGTGCTTCAGACAAAAGCAAAAAGACTTCAAAAATACTGAGTGATTCAAAACTAATGCTTACATATAATGGTTATAAAAATATTCTGGGAATATACAAATATTTTACACTGATTTCCTTAGAGCTATAATCTTCTAACAATCTTCAAGCATATTTTGCCTCAAAGGCCATGTTAAGATTTTAAGTTCCCATACCCCCTAATTATCCTCTAATACCATATTTTCATAATTCAATGAGATTAATAGGGTAAACGCTCCATTCATTTTGAAATATATCCATATTCCATGCATCGGCTAGAAGGTAAGATCTTAAAAACTAAAAAAACAAAAGGAATTATATTTGTGTTGGAAATGCATTCATATAATTTTTTAGCTAGTGTGGTTTCCTAATATTACTTCCAGGCTCATAGATCATTCTCACAGCTAAAGCTGTATAACAATGAGATTTATAGATAATTAAAAAATAAACATTGCCATGATTTATCCCAAAACAATGAAATTTAATCTTACTACAATGATTTTGATAATTAAATAATACCTTGTAGGCTTTCTTGCAACCATCATCTCAACTAAATCTTACAAGGTCAATAAAATTTACTGAAGAGAAAGTCCCACTCTTATCCATGATTACATGATTACTGTTTTTCAAGTATCTGAACAAATAAGGTACAAATACAAAGTTTTAATGCCTTAACTAGAAAGGTAGGTATCACAGGTGGACATACATCAAAGGAAATATATCTGTGGCATCATGATTTTAATCATCTTCACTTTTTTAAATTTTCAGATGTTGGGGACATTTTAAGGAACATGTAAGGTCCTTTTAAATGTAATAGACTGTCTAGAAGAGTTGACTGCATTATCTTGGTTTCTCTTTCTCTGCCTTTAGATTACCATTTACCTTCTGGGAATGTCATACTTATTTCTACATCTGAGTTACTTCTCTCACGAGAAGCTGGAAAAAAAAATCAATTAATCACTATTTGTAAACACCCTTGGAGCTTTAGCTGAAAGGCCTTTTGACAAGCGAAGTATTATTCTTTAGTACCTTACGGCACTATTATGTCCTTACTGGTACATACTTATAAGTAATTTTTATTGGATCTTAAGACCCAGCATTTGTTTGTTTTTTATGACATCAGGCTAAATCTAGCAGTCACCTTGACTGGAAACCTGTTATGTTTAGTTGTCATGTGCAAAGTAATTGGCCTGGTGGAGGGGATAATACCTTATTTCTCATTTCAAGTAAAGCCTATCACACTGGATTATGGCTATTCACATTTGCCTGGCACCTTGCTTGGCACTTAATCTGAGTGCATAATGGGATTAATGAACTACGCAAACCACCAGATCTGGAGCTATCAACTTACCAGCCAGCATATGCATACATTCCATAATAAAAAGCCAGTGGCAACCGCGTAATACTTGAATCTCTTCCTGAAAAGGCGTCTTTAAAGTTCTGCGTTTGACCTGTAATTAGAATAGACTGATTTTAGGATTTTTCAAAGAATTGGTTCTTATTCACTCTTAACCAGAAACATGGGGGTGCGGAGAAACATACTGTTGTAAGTCTAGATTTCTTACTCTCTGTTGATTACCATCTTTATCAATACTGTACCCATTCTATAGAAGGGGTCCCAAAAGTATATTGATCATTAACACTATTTCATATTTCTCTTTTAATAAATTTATAACAAAGATGAAAATGGCATTGAAAAATAATCCTCTGTTTGAGTATGCCTCTATTGTGACCATAAAAGAAGACTAAAGGGTTTTCTGTAAATTATAATCTTTATGAATATGATAGAATTCTTAAAAGATAGAATTCTTAAAAAGATAATGTTTTGCTTGGCAAGAAAATGCGGAGAGGTATCCAAGGTTCTACCCTTAATGAGGAGATGGAAATAAATCCCAGGACTCCTTTCCTACACAATTTACCTTTCTGCTTTCTGTTTATCCCATGTTGTTCATTAGATGCCTACCTCCTAGAAGAGAAGTTGGAAAATCCTGAAGACCATGTGTGTCAACCCAAACTGCAAGCCTTTCTTTTTTTATTTTTTTCAAGATGGAGTCTCACTCTGTGGCCCAGGCTGGAGTGCAGTGGCACAATCTTGGCTCACTGCAACCTCCGCCTCCTGGGTTCAAGTGATTCTCCAGCCTCAGCCTCCTGAGTAGCTGGGATTACAGGAGCGCGCCATCATGCCCAACTAATTTTCATATTTTTAGTAGAGATGGGGTTTCACCATGTTGGCCAGGCTGGTCTTGAACTCCTGATCTTGTGATCCGCCCGCCTCGGCCTCCCAAAGTGTTAGGATTACAGGTGTGAGCCACTGCGTCTGGCTGCAAGCCTTTCTTATAGATAAAGTTTTCTTTATCTATAAGTTAAAAATGCCCATTCATGAAGTATTACCCATTCATGAAGTATTGCCTATGGCTGATTTCAACCTATAATAGCAGAGTTGAGACCATACAGCTAGCTTGAAAAATTGAAAATATTTACTCTCTTGTCCTTTACAGAGAAAGTCCACTCACTCTGTGACCCTGTCCTAGAGAATGACATGTTTTTTTTCCTAGAAATATTGAAAAGATATTATAATGAACTCTAAAATAAATAGGTTTCAACAAATTTTGCAGCAGCATGTGAATTGAACACTTCACCTTTTTCTCTATTTTATGAATCACATTGGAGCTTTTTCTTTTATATCTTTTGAATAGTTTTAAAAGTTAGAAATTCAGATTTACTTTAGTCAGTCAATATTCAAGCTTAAGCAGAAAAAATGTTTCTATTACCCAAAGAAAATAGCAAATGAGATTACCCAAATGGGAAGTGAGACTTTGTTTTAAAATAAAACTTCATGTAAATAAACAGAAGGGGGACAGGGGGTGGATGATGTGTATGAGACACTCTCTCTTCCAAGTCAAATCTCAGTTTTTCCTGCATTCATTGCCCAGGCATAACTTATATATAAATATAATATGTGTGAGTATGAAGACCAAAAATGGAGAATGTTGAATTATATACTAAACAATTTTTCTCTCAAATGATTCCCAAACATAGCTCACTTTTTAAATGACATGATAAATTCAGAAATGCCCATTTTACTAAAACATCATTGTGTCCTTCCAGGAGAAAAATATAAATAGTGGAATTCAGATAAAAGCATCTGTTGAATATTCTTTTATCATAATCTGTGGTCTCTTTGGCATAAAGGCACAATATTTCTTAGAGTGCAGCACCAAATAATCCATAAGAAAAACCAAATTCTATAAAGACTGGGTCACAAGCAAAGATCTTCAAAAGTGCCATTTTGAGAATATTACAAAAGAGAGGCATTTTGTTTCTAGAATTCAGGAATATTTTGGCTATATAACAGAGGTCTCATGAAGATTAAAGGCAATATTCAAAGGAAAGTTCAACAAACTCTCATAAGTGAATACATAACATACAACTACTTTCAGGATATGATTAGAATAGAAATAAAAGCACAATCTGTATTAACAAAGTCTCCTACTAGAGTTTCAGATTAATGTGAAAAATGTGTGATCATGTTAGAGATGAAGAAAATCACAATTTTACAGCAATCGAGCAAATATACCTGCTAATAATGGTCTCTAAAATGTTAAATTTACATTAAATGCGGTAATATTCTCAGGGAATTTCTCTGTTGTGTGAGATCTCTGAATAAGCCTGTCACATTAAGCATTGATATCATGATTATTGATTAAAGTGTCTCTGTATTTTAGCCACTAAAAAAACCTCAAGATATATCATGACCTCTGCTCTCAAGGAATTTGCAATAGAGCAACATTTGGGCAACCAAACCCTTCCTCATATACATATATAAATACCTGGTAAAAATTGAATAAAGTCTATAATGCTACCTATAGTATCTTACATTACACCAAAAAGAAGAAGAAAATAAATCTTAGTTTCAAGGGATAGCATATAATCTTTTGGAATCTAAACTAGTATTAAAGAACAGCCAATGACCCAGAGATTCTGCACTTTTCAAATACTGAAGAAACTCCTTACAGAAGACTGAAGAGTTAGCTCAGAAAAATAAAGCACTAACAAAACAGATTATTGTGCCTACATTCCTAACGAATAAGATAGAAATGAGCAGGCTAGCTCTGTGGAGGCCAAGGTGTATTAGAAGAGCAAGCTCCTGTCTTCTCTTCAGTGCAAGCTCTAACGGTCAAAATCTTCATTGTGTTTATTCTGCATTGGCTGCTGTTGCTGGATTTCATAAAAGCATTTCCGCCAGCAGGGCTCTAAAATCTCCCACTAGGCTTATTAAATGGGCAACAGCAGCTCCCTTTCCCAGCTCCAGAGTGGCTGATCCTTCAGTGTTTGTCATTATTTAATGCTTCTACCAACAGTGATGATTTTACCAAACGCTGGCATTTCCTTTTGCCTTGTGTAATTCTTCTGCAACGTCATTAAATTTCTCTAGATTCCCTTTCTTGGAACAGACAATATCAATGTAAACATTAAATACTTAACATGCCCAAGTTATGTCATTCCTTTACAATTTCTTCTCACTTTATTTCCTGCTATATTCCTGTTGCTAATTAAATACCACATGTGAATCTCTGTCCTCCAACAATTTCCACTGAATCCAAGCAACTGCATGTGCCTTCTTTCCTAAAACAAAAACTCTAAATGTCACCTCTCAATTTCTTTTTTTAAATTAAATGTTAAACTCTATAAAGCAAGTAATCGCAGAAATGCGAATTTTATATTAAAAATAATGTAACAATAAAAATTAAGTTTTTACAACTATTTTATTGTGATATAATTTTGGTGTTTAGGAATGCTGTTCCCGTATTGACTCCTCTGTTGAGGATACCACTCTCAATTTAAAAGGAATAATAACCAGAAAGTCAAAGAATTATTGATCATCTTTTATCACTTTCCAGATACCTTTTTCTCTTTAATTTTTATTACTATTATTGGACAATTTTAAAGTAAAAAAAAGACATATTTATCTTTAATTAAAACTAAGTGGCAGGTTTTTTTTTTTTCCACTTCGAGTTTTCACTCCAAACCATTAAACCTAGAAAATTCACTGATGCCTTATTTTGTTGCATGGCCCATTCTTAATCCTCTTTCTGCCATTCAACTGTAAAAACCAACTCACTCACAATGTAGCAGCCTTTCAAATCAATTAGATGACAATATAGAGTTTAAGTTCCACAGGCAGAGACTAATTAAGGATTCTGTTAGTACAAGCAAAAGTTAGTGTTAAAAAAGACCAAAAGCAGATACGTATTTTAAAAAGCATTTGCTTTTCAGTCCATACCTTTAATTAGCTGCATAACTCCAGGGACTATAATTATCAGAATTGCTGTGAGCTTGCAAAAGGTTAAGAAAATCTGGATCCGGGCGCTCCAGCTGACACTCATGCTATTTAGGACCATCACTACAGCTGCAAACAAATAGAGGAAGTTACAAAAGGTGAATTCTCACTGGCACAAAGACATTTTAGGTCCTTGTTACTCAAAGGGCAATCTGTGAGGCAGCAGTGTTGACATTACTTAGAAGTGTTTTAGAAATGCAGAATCTCAGGCTCTGCCCCAGGCCTAATGAATACAAATCTACATTTCAACAGGTTCTCCAGCTGGTTTTTATGCACATTGAAGTTTGAGAAACATGGATAAAGCCTCTGGACAATAAGAATTCTTCTCTTGTTCTTTGTATGTAAGAGTGGACATATATTGTAGTACTCTAACAATCACATAAAAATGTCTTCTAACCAAACCCAGCATCCAATCAGATGGCTGAATTTCACTGTCTAGCTTGATGTGACAACTCTTTCCTGTCTCTATGATGGTATGCCTGCCAATGTGGATCACACTCAAGAAGGAGCAAGAAGTGTAGAAGTTGGCTCAGATCTTATTTTTCACTCTCAGGACTAGCCTCAGGCAGCACTTTTCTTTTGGTTGTCTTCTTTCTAATTAGCATGTCAAGGGGCGACTTTCAACCCACCGTACAAGTATAGTTTTTCAAGATATGTTTCAGGGCTTCAGCACAATATTCTAAGTGATGAGTGCAAAAGACTAACCAGGCTAGAATGCACATTGGGTTCAAAGCCAGAAGAATTTTTCATTCTTACTGATGCTGTCTACAATTTCCCAAGCAGCAATAACTATCCACCTTCGACACCTTGTGGACCATGAAAACCTCAAGGATAGAGCAAGGGTTATTCATCGCTGTATCGCTGGTATCCAGCTCCATGCCTGGCCCAGGTAACTTAATACATTTTTGTTGAATGAATGAACTGGATCCTCAGTTAGAAAATCTAAGGCACAAGGGAAATGGTGATGCTCTAAGACCTTTCTCCCCTACTCTGCTGGGATGACTGAGGTTATTCTAGACAGTGGTTTTCAACTTTATACTCTTTCCACAACCTTATGCTTGGAACAACCCAAAACACTACTTTATTCCTGACATTTACAGTTATTAACTATAACCTTTATATTTATAAAGGTATATTCTCCCTAAACAAATATTTAAAATGTAAAGATATTTCTCAAAGAATGAAACAAAACTCCTACAGAATTCTTATTATTCAAATTGAAATTGGAAGTTTTCCTTATATATAGTAATGAGTCCGCCTCACAGTTTTCACTGCCTGATATAGTTACTAGCTCACTTCAGAATTTAACAATCAATGCAAATGTCAGCAACACATAATCTTTAAAGGCAAAAAAATGGAAATAGCCTAAACCTCCTAAAGGAAGGCTAATTAAGGTATATCATTTTAATAGTTTATATGCAGCCACTTAAAATTATGAGGCAGTTAAATATTTATTACAAGAAAGGATATTCATGATATATTACTGATCAATACAGCAAGTTAGAGGAATGGATGGAAAGAAGGAAGGAAGGAAGAAGGAAAAGAAGGAAGGAAGGATGAAAGGAAGGAAGGAAGGAAGGAAGGAAGGAAGGAAGGAAGGAAGGAGAAATAGATCTGGAAACATATTTACCAAAACATCAACAGCAGGTGTTTATAAGTGATAGAACACTAAATAATTTTCAATTTTTTAAATTTATTTTTAGGAATAGTTTAATAAATTTTATGATGAACATATAGCATTTTGGTGGCTATAGTTTCAAATACTGAATTGTATACTTGAAATATACTTAAATGTTCTCACCACAGAACAAAACAAAAAAAAGAGGGGTAACTAAATGATGTGACAGAGGTGTTAACTCACTTGATTGAGACAATAATTTCACTATATATATATATATATATATATATATATATATAAATAAAATCATTACATTGTACACCCTAAAATTACAATTTTATTTGTTGTATATACCTCAATAAAGATGAAAAAATTTTCAAAAGTAAATGAAGCAATAAAATACATTTTGTTTTTGGAAAAAACTCCAAGATGGGAAAAATAAGGGATCAGAAGATCTCATACAAAGTGAAATACAGGGTTACTAACGAAGAAATATTTCAAAGGAGTAATTATGAGAATGATCAAAAAGGCCAAACCCCTGAATAAGCTACAGGGGCATCTAAGGGGGGTTATTTCATCTGTGTTGGAAGCTGAAAACATGAAGGGATAGACAGGTCTGTTGTCAATGACAAAGTGCATTATTTTATCAGAGGAATCACAAAAATAAAATTATTTATCTCTCCCCAATATAAGGCACTTATATATGGAAAATAAGTTAGTGTAACTCTGCTCCCTGCTCCATCATCCAGTGATTCCTTTCCTTTTCTATGCAAATGACTGTGTGATGAGTCATTACACAATAATGATTATTGTTTTAATTAAGGAGGTTCAACGTTGGTGTAAAAGTGAAAAAATTGTCTCATGTGGCCACCAGCAACAAAAGGGCAGTGTTTTCTTTCAAATAGGGCTCCTAAAACCCAAAGCACTCTGTATTTATGAAAGTTCTTTCCACAGTAGAAAAGAACTGTTATATAGAGAGAAAGAGAGAAAAAGAAAGGAGAGGAAAGGAGAAGGATAAAAACGAAAAGAGGCAGGCAGGGAGGAAGGAAGGAGAGAGAGAGAGGCATTCTTATTTTTGGAACAACTAACTATATGTTTGAAAATAAGAAAGAGGTTTTGTTACTTTCATAAAGAGTATAAGTACCTAATGTCTATTGAAATATTAAAAAAACTGGGTATTTGGGATTTTAAAAAATACTTTGTAAAGTTTTCTTAGGCAAATGGAAGACAAAATTAAACAGATATTATGAATTGATCATCTCACCCTGCTTTCCTCTCAGATAGCTTAACAAAAATTCTCATTAAGATGCTAGTACACTGCTGGTGGGAATGTAAATTAGTATAGCCACTATAGAAAACAGTATGGAAGTGTCTCAAAAAACTAAAAATAAATCTATCATATGATCCAGCAATCCCATTGCTGGGTACTTGATTGTGGTGATAGTTTCACAGGTGAATACATACATCACACTTTATCAAACTGTACATTTAAAGCATGTGTGGTTTATTGTATGTCAATTACACCTCAATGAAACTTTTTAAGAAAAAAAAAGATGAATTTTTTTCAAAGGGTTCTTAAAACCCTGCTTTATCTGAGCATCCAGACATTGTACTCATTATTTGGTACACTAAATTCCAGCTGAGATGCCCCTGAATTACCCTGAAGGCACAGTTTAACAAGTAACAAGGCAGCCAGCGAGAGGTACAGTGAAGCTTCTCCGGTGGCTATAACTGCTGTTTCATCACGTGTCTTTACAGTGAAATTTATGTCTATGTATGTTGCTTCTCCAACAATATTGAAAAGGGACTTGGGATTCACTAAATGCAAGAGCTTTCTAAGTTTCTGAAACAAATAATATATACTTTTAAAAAATACTACCTTACCCACATTGCAATAATGAAAGAAATCTGGGCCAGCTCTCTGGTCCTAGTTTTACTTCCTTTGAATAACAATTTGCTAATTTCACACATGAGGAAATAATTATATCAGTCTGGGCATTCTTTTGTATGCTCCCCTTAAATTTTACCAAAATAAAAATACAGGGACATATAGTTTTTATTTACTTATTTATGATGCAGTTTCCTAAGAACTGAAATGTGGCAATGGAAGTGATATCTATAAATCCTGGAGATAAGAAATACATATTTGAAGGAAGCTATATTTGAAGAGGATGTTTAGGGGAATGTTAAGGACTGAAGCTGTGATTTAAGGACTGGCAAGTATTTCTTTCTGCACTATGTAATTCAAGTCTGTCTTTGGGTTTTGAAGAGTGAGATTACAGAGTCTAGATATATTGGGTTTTCTCCCAGGGTCAGGTTCTTCTTGGCTTCTGAATTCTGAGTACTTTGTGCTTAACTGATAAAATATATGGATATTGTGTATGTATGTTACATGTTGAGATAAAGTGGGTTGTTTCACTGCTGTTTTGTAATGACTGCCTGGATTCCTTTTATCTTTTTATTAGAATTCATCTCCTGGATGCATTAATTTTAGAGAAGACAGGTAGCAACAAACCCTTTAAAAAGCAGAGTGACAGTTTGTATCTAGGATCTCACTATTGGGAATAAAAATGTTAAGTGATATATAAATATAAACTTATTTTATGGCAGACATTGTACAAAGACTTTACATGAATAATGTTATTTAATCCTCATATCTCTATGACATAGTCATTTTATTGGCTTTATTTTTCAGATGAGCAGCTGAGACTCAAGATATTGTTTAACTTGCGCATGTTTGCATAGGTAGTAACAGTGAAGATGGGTCTGGAGCCCAGGTAATCTAACTCTGGAGCCCACACTTTTACCATTAGTTCCCAGGCAACAATGAGGAAGTAGTTCAAAAGACATACATGATCCCCTTGGTGTACCTAGTTCTTTTAAACTCTTGATGGCTCTTTCTCTCTGCAAAAGTTCACATTTATGTTAGCTACAGGACCCTTTGTTTCCACATTTTGCATGTCATCCTCCTAAAGTATGTGATAGTTGTTCTGCAGTACTTGTATATTTTAATACTATGTTTATTTACCTAAGAATTGGTTGTGTTGCTAAGTTACTTATGGTAGAAAAGAAGTAGGTATAGCCAGATTTCAAAGATTTAAACAGAGCCACTTCATATGCTGTATTTGAAGTGTTAACACAGAAATAGTCCTAGATTTTCTTTTATGTAATTTAATGGTGCCAGGAAAATATAGATTTCAAAAAGAATATAAAGTAATACGTTTGCAGAACTGGGTAATTTTTTTCACAATACAATCACAAATGTTATTTTTGCTTGTTCCTCCCAATTACTTTCAAAAGTTTGAGAATTAGGATGGGGTTCTTAACTCATCTTTATTTTATATAGATAAAATAAACTAGCAAGGAAATTGACATCCAACAATTGATGGTGTTAGGGATGGATCTGGGACTAGATCTCGTATCTTAAGGAGAATATTTTTATTATAATATTCTGACATTCAAGTGTATAATTATATAGGGTCCAATTTCAGGAATACAGAACAGATAAATATTTTAAATATTGAGCATACTTCAATGCTTATTGAATCTATAAAAGCAGTGAAAATTCATGAACTTCTACAGAAGGTGAAGAAAGTAATTACAGGTCGGGCGCGATGGCTCATGCCTGTAATCCCAGCACTTTGCGAGGCCGAGGCGGGCGGCTCATGAGGTCAGGAGATCGAGACCATCCTGGCTAACATGGTGAAACTCCGTCTCTACTAAAAATACAAAAAAATTAGCAGGGCGTGATGGTGGGCGCCTGTAGTCCCAGCTACTCTGGAGGCTGAGGCAGGAGAATGGCGTGAAACCAGGAGGCAGACCTTGCAGTGAGCCAAGATCATGCCACTGCACTCCAGCCTGGGCGACAGAGCAAGACTCCGTCTCAAAAAAAAAAAAAAAAAAAAAAAAGAACAAACGAAAGTAATTAAATATTGAGCTATAAGAGAGCAGCCAAATGCAAATCTATAAGATTTTCCATCTTAACTTCCACGCACCTGACATGTTTACTGGAATGGATGAAATTTGTATAAGCAAAAACTTTTTTATCTTCATTAAATTTGACAGAAATGAAATACAGTACTTAAAAAAATGGGGGTGAATTAGTATTTACTTAACCCCCCACCCTTATCCCATTATCATCTCTCAAATGGTTGGCTAACATTTCACAAAATTTGAAATTCTTTTTTTCTATGATGTAGCAAGACCCTTCAGGTTTGCCCTTTTTCTATGCTTAACTAGAGATTTCAAATGACCACGAACTGTTTCCTTCCCCAGGGATCACAGGGAAGCAATTCATGCAATTCAACTCTGTTTTCTACATCTTGGTTAACCTTCCACCCCTAACAGGTAGAAAATCACCTAGACTCACTTTGAAGAAAGCAGGGTGTGAGAGATTTGCCCCTAGATAAATTTCTCCTTCTCTATCTCCATCTCCACCCGCTGTTGCACCATTAAAGCTAAATTTTTCTTACAGACAGTTTGACTTTCCCAATTAGGGCACTGATTTACATTACCTACCACTGAGTCATAAGGATATCCAGTTTGCTTTTTAACTGTTGCTGATTATGGGTACACATTTCTTTCTCCGAATTTCAAGCTTGCAAAAGGAACATCAAAATTTAAAAATGAATGTAATAACTTATGGCAAAAATAGAAGGAAATGTCTGGGTTCATCTAAGATTTCCTCAGGCTCCTTGTTAACTATTCCGTCACCAATGTCTACTACAGAGGTTTTGTAAACCCCAATATGGTTATCCTTTCCTAGAACTGTTTTAAAGTTTAGTTTGAGCAGTTTTCATTTAATCCTCAGAGATACGAATTTTCCCTTTAAAATGTTTAATTGAATTGGGATAAACAAGAAAAGAGTTATCTAGACTTATAAAAACATAAATATAGCATTAGTATTCATATAAGTTTAACTCCAAAGTGAGTAAAATTTGTGGATTTATAAATGTTTACATGCAATCTACTTAGTCTTCTGGTTATGGCTTTTAATTAATAACTATCATTGTTAATTTACAGAGCTCTCAAAAATGCCACCCCTGCTCTTCTCTTTTTTAAATATAATAATTGTGATATGATTCTGCCTCAGTCATTCAAGGGACAAGAAAATGGTGAATATAACAATGGCTGTTAGTTCAGTCCCTTAGTGGAACAGTGGACTTATCAAGAACTTTCTATAGGCAAGGCACTCTGTTAAAGGTCTTAAAAATCTGACTGTGATCATGTCTTCTGCGGGAACATGGATAGAGCTAGAGGCCATTATCCTTAGCAAACTAACACAGGAACAGAAAACCAAATACTGCATGTTTTCACGTATAAGTGGGAGCTAAATGATGACAACTCATTAACACAAAGGGGAACTACAGACACTGGGCCTGCTTGAGGGTGTTTGGAAGGAGGGAGAGAATCAGAAAAAAATAGCTTGGGTACCAGGTTTAGTACCTGGGTGATGAGACAATCTGTACACCAAACCCCCATGACACGAGTTTACCTATGTAACAAACTGCACATGTACCCCTGAACTCAAAATGAAAGCTAAAAAAAAAAAAAGAAAAAATAATGAAAAAGAATGTGACCCAAACAAAAAATTTGGCTTAACTTCATCTTCCTTCAGCTATTCAAGATATTAATAGATTATCTTTTCATAGGCATTTTCCTAATATATAAAACTGGGGCTTAAATAGGTTTAAAAATTAGCACAAGATCACAAAACTAAGAATTGTAACACCAAGCTTCAATTCCAGGTTGTTTCCCTCCAAAGCCTAAACTGTAACCACTATGCTCAAATGGTTCAACCCTCAAAAACTTAGACTGCTAGATCTGAACATAATATGAAGCAAACTCTATTTCATTTTTATCATTTTCCCACTGCCTGGAAATATACTGAAGATATCTAATCCTCCAAGTTTAACAAGTAAACAGACTATAGACTTTTCTGCCGGAGAAAAAATTCTTAGACTTCTCAGAAAATCAAGTCAACAAATACTTACTGAGCACCACCAACAACATGCTAGGAGCTAAGTGAGGGGCTGGAAATACAGCAATGAATAGGTCTCTAGTCTCCTGGAACATCAAATGATGTTTTTCCAAAAGTATAAATAGTTACCATTTTTTATTGTCTTCTTAATAAATTGAATAAAATAATGTCTTTGCTGCCAGTAACATGGATGGAACTGGAAGTCACTATTTTAAGTGGAATTAAAGAAAAAGAAAGTCAAATACCATAGGTTCTCACTTATAAGTGGGAGCTAAATAATGTATACACATAGACGTAGAGTGTGAAATAATAGACATCGGAGACTCAGAGAGATGAGAGGGTAGGAGGAGGATAAGGGATGAAAATTACTTAATATCTACGATGTACACTATTTGGGTGATGGTTACACTAAAAGCCCAGACTCCACCACTACGCAATATATCCACGTAACACAACTGCACTGTACCCCCTAAATCTATTTTTTAAATTTTAATTAAAAATAAATAAATGAATTACAGGCAATAAGTAAATTACAGGCAATACCCCAGGCATTGTCCCATTGAAACACCTTAGCCATACAAACTAAAAATTCTTCCACGATTATGCAGTTGAGTTATTCCTGTGTAGCTTTCTCTTTATGAGTAGCTAAAACTCGGTTAAATGTGATCATATTGATTCTTAAGACAGTGATTCAAATGGCACCTAGAATTAAGTTATCCTTTCCCATATTTAAGGATTTGGTACCTGGCATCTTTTGGGGAATTAGAGTCATATATGGCTTCATATCACTCATGCAATTTTGTACATGTTCTTCTTTTTGTTTCTTTTTTTAATCAATGAATATTTGTGCCCATTGATAAAAGATGAACAACTTCTTAATTTGGAGACCATAAAGAAATCTAGTTAGAAAATACTACTAATAATCAATCTTAAAAGAAAATTCTTTTCATGACCAACAACAGGCAGCTGACATTATAACACTGGGAGTGACAGCTGCTAACACTACAAAATGTATAAGTACAACTTAAACACCCACTACATAAAGGTAACTCCATGATTACACATGAGATATAATTCAATATATAGCTAATTTCCAATTCAAGTAGTCTCTAAAATAATTGGGGTTTTCTCTTTAAAAGTCTTGTTCATGTATAATAGACTTAATATTTTACTAGTAAGGTGATTTTTACTATTTAAAAAGATTAGCCATCATATCTATTGACCAAATACAAAACTGGCATGGAATACAGTATTGGATCCCACTCCAAATCCTTCCAGTAGAAATTTGGAACTGTAAGCAAAAAGAACATGATGTGAGAGGCAATCCCGCAATGCAAAAAGTCTAAAGACACTTTGTCTTCAATCATTTTTGTGTTGTTTTTCCTTTTTCACATATATAGCTATAATACTCACTTATGCCCACAGCTGTAATGAGCTTGATCGCAAGTTCAGGGATTTCACATTGAATAAAAAATGGTTCCAGAATGTAGCGTCCAAATGCCAGGGATATCACAGCAGTAGCTGCAGGGCTAAAAAAAAATGTATATATTTAGGTTAACCACAGGGGAAAAAACTGCATTTTCATTAATTTTTTCTACCTTGAGTGTATTTAGCATATGGAACATGTTAAATATGAAAGTCCATAGTTTTCAGAATTCCGTACTTGATTAGGTTGCCATAGACATTCCAAATGAAGTACTTCCTGTAACACTGGTGGCTAGATTTTAAACTTCACATATTCTTGGGAACAAGGGTAAGTACTATCAACTTTTCCCCTGCTCTCCCATATTTGACTTTTCCTTAAAAATCTGGTTTATTACATGAGATCTTGACAGAGCTAGGCTTACAGGAAGCCATCTTCTTTCTCAAAAAGTCAGTAAGTAAACTTCAGCCATATTATGAATTAATTAATGCCATACAGATCTAATGTGTCAGGGCATAGTCAAAAGAATGAACACAACACTCAACCTAAAAAATTAGTATTAAGTGTTCCCTGCAAATACATGCCTAAATATTTGACATTGTTTTATTTTTTCTGTACAGACAAAAACTCAAAGTCAAGTGATTATTCTTAATCCTATAGTAACATTCAGATATAAAATATAAATTTAAAAATAATAGATTTATTATAATCTGATACAATTAAGAAAATATAAATGAGACAAGAATATGAAATAAATTCAGGTATATAGAAATATAGGTAATACATCTTTCTATTTTAATTCTTCAAATATTTTTATGAGAAAATTGCACAGACCTTTTCATTTTAGATGTATGTATATATGAATGCATATTTTTTCCATAAACATGCAAGTCTGTGCAATTATCTAATTTCTTTTTTTTTTTTTTGAAATGGAGTCTCACTCTGTCCCCCAGGCTGGAGTGTAGTGGCACGATCTCAGCTCACTGCAACCTCCGCCTCCCGTGTTCAAGCAATTCTCCTGCCTCAGCCTCCTGAGTAGCTGGGATTACAGGTGCATGCCACCATGCCTGGCTAATTTTTTGTATTTTTAATAGAGACAGGGTCTCACCATATTGGTCAGGCTGGTCTCGAACTTCTGACCTGATGATCCACCTGCCTCGGCCTCCCAAACTGCTGGGATTACAGGCGTGAGCCACCGTGCCCGGCAGCAATTATCTAATTTCTTATGCCAAACTTCCTTTTTAGCTTCTCTTTCTTCTCGTGGTTACCCAACATTCATGCCCGATCCATAGATTATCAGAAAACCAACCAGCATTACATGTTCCCAACTTTGGCCGGCTGATACTGGAGAGCGGCATAAGGTTTTTCATTTTCTTCTTTTCCTAGACACCCTCCCATCTTCCCCAAACAAAACTGTTTATCCTATTCTCCATCATTTATACAATTTTTTATGTATAATTTAAAATCTGATTATGTCATTTTAGTGCTTTCAAAATATGTTCAGGATATGCAAAAAGCCTTCACATTGCATTCAAGGCTCCATCTGGTCTAAGCTCTCCCTACTTCTTCAGTTAGCTTCTTCCCACTAGAAGGATATGAATCTTCTCTGCCTGCAGCCTCTGCAACTAATTGACTATGTTTTATACTTCAGATCTTAGTTCAATTTTCCTTTCCCAGGGGAAAACTTCTCCAACCTATGACTGGGCCAGATCTCTTGGAGTATATTCATACTGAAGCCCTTGGCCTGTCTTCCACAGTGCTTATCACAATAGCAATTTTATATTTACCTATGTGATTTCTCGATTGATAATGATTTCCTCCCACTTGACTCTGAGCTCTAAGGGTACAAAATCATATCTATCTTAATCACAGTTTTACCTCCAGTGTTTAGAACAGTGTCTATCATATAGTGGAAACCCAATATATATTGAATATATAGTGCACACGCAAATTCGGTTTAATGACCCCTGCTGTGTACAGATAGATAATATTTCTGTCCTTGAAATCTGTGTTTTACAGATTATTTCTGGCAATACTAACTTAATCTAAAGGTATAATTTTAATGGGAAGTACTTAGGAACTATGGGTATTAGTAAAAGAAGAGAAATATTTACATACTTAGATATTTTGTCCCTCCTCATGTCATTTGTTATTCTGCCTATTTAAAAGGCCAACTCAGCAATATGAGTATGTTATGACAAAGAGATATATGAACATATTTTAAAAGCTTCTAGAATACAAAGGTACTTTCCTCTGTCAACAGACACACACACACAGAGAAAAGTAGTTTTTTTTTTTAAATTAAAGTAACATTTGATTATCCGCTACCTGGGAGCAGAAATTGTGGCTGATTTCATTTTAGATCTCTTTTTATTGCCATTTACCATTCAGTAGCAGTTTGTGGAATAAATAAATTAATATATGAATATTTTATCTGTGCTACTGTAAGATATAAGCTATATTTATATGGAATGATCATGTTCATCATAATGCTAAGCAATGAGCCAAAGTTACACAACTAATACATGGCTGAAGACGGAGTCAAGTCCAACTGTATTAAGCTCCAAAGCCCGCCAGCCTGACAGGCCAGCAGTCAATAAGTAGTACATGCATTTGAATGCTGAGTATGTTGTACACAATATATTGTAACTTTAAACTTTCAATTACTTATTCAAAAATAATTTAATATATGCCAAAAAAAGGGCACTGACCTAAGTAGTATATGGGTTACAAAAAGATCTTATCTTTGTATGCTTGAAATGTTGGCAGTTTTAAAAGGGAAACAAAATATAGACACCTAAAATATTAAGGAAGAATAGAAGGTATCATGCTCAATGCCAAATGTGAAGCAGAGATAGAATTTTCAGAAGAATTTAGAGATGAAAGAAATAACATAAATTAGAATAAACAGGAAATTAATTGTGGGAAAGAAAGGATTTAAGATGACCTTTGAAGAGCAGATAAGATTGAGATAACCAAAAGGAATAGAAGTGCATTCCTGATAGAGGAATTTCAGGAAAGGAAAAAAATACTTATTATTATTTCATTATAACAATTTTAAATAATGCAGAGTGTTTAAAATGAAAAAGCCTTCATGAAGCATATACTACTTTGAAGATCTTTTTTTGGTTAAAAAAAAAAAGACTTCTAACACTGTAAAACTCATGATTAGTGTTGTCAATACTTACTAGCACTGTATTTGGCACTTAGCCATAAAAGCTCACATGAACTCTCAATCACATATGTTTGATAAGTTTGATAAGAGCAAGTTTCCCTAGTAATATCCATTAAATTCTGTAATCAGACTGTGCACATCACATTTTATCAAAGTAGTTAGCCTTAAGGAACTGTGATACTCTGAAATGCTCATATGACATCATAAGCTTCCCACAAAGTCGAAGGAAATTTGCTATTCAGAGTGACTTAGCACTATTCAGTGTGATTTTAAACCAAGACAAGCAGGAATGTAAACACATTGTTACAACAATAAAATCAAAAAAGACTTTTGGAACTGTAGTTCCTAATCTGTTTAATATAAGGAAATGAGTCATTTGACTCTGTCATGCAAACTCTGTTTTTTATGAAGTATAAGACTTGGTGACCAACTAAGTTGTGAGGCACAGAAGTGTCTTGGTCACAATGACTAAGTAAAGTTAAATGCCTTAATGATATAATCTACAATAAGAGAAAACTTCAATATTTAATTTGGTCTAGTTGGTCAAAAGGTATCCAGGTGAATTTTCATGTTCATATTCTTTCAAGTAAGCATCTTTCTCCTGGAAGTGTCAAAGAGAATAGCTGAGGGTCAAAGAAAGGTAGATATTTCTAAAAGTTTGGCATTGCTGGTGAACTGCTTGTCAGTGATAAAATTGCATTAAAAATATCTTAATTCAGAAAGGTACTTTATCACAGGCTTTATATCCTGAGGTAGACATGTTTATCATGTAGTCACATGACATGCATGTGTCTAACCAGTTAAAAATAATCAAGGTGATTCATAAGAATGAATTGGTTTATTTTTTCTTAATTCTTTCTACTATGCTCTTACCGTATTATGAGGAGTTCCACCCAGACTCGTACAAAAGCTGGTAATGGACCAAAGACTTCCAAAATATATGTGTAATGACCTCCAGATTTCTTTATAGTTGTTCCCAATTCAGCATAAGACAAAGCTCCTGTGAAATATTTGTCACAAAATGGTACCAATTTAATACATTTTCAAGACACCCAGCATTAGAATAGATACAATAATGTTTATATGTTGCCTGAGATGTAACTGCCTCCTTTGGTCTGAATGGCATCCTTACTCAAGACAAATAACCATCATCTAATTGCTAAGACCCGCCAAGTTCCTTTTCTAACATCCTCACAGTTGAGATTTAGTGTATTCTATTTGAACACTATAATTTTACTTGAAATGACAAAGATACATGTCTGCAACAATATCATGTGTTCCAGAATTTTGAGCTGAAAACCTGGAAATAGGGGAAAAAGAGGAGAGAGATGTCAATAATATTGACCTATTTTTAGAAGAACACAACCTCACACCAAGACAAGGCATTAGTCCAAATGTTTGAGTTAGCTTTTAAGTTTTTTGAGTTATTTTTTGAGAACCCTTTTAATAAATTATGTTTCTGTGGAAAATCAAAATGAACAAGCTGTATCCACTCTTTAGAAAACCATGGACTCTCTGACTTGCAAGATTTCTTTTTTTTTTTTTTTTTTTTGAGACGGAGTCTCACTCTGTCGCCCAAGCTGGAGTGCAGTGGCGCGATCTCGGCTCACTGCAAGCTCTGCCTCCTGGGTTCACACCATTCTCCTGCCTCAGCCTCCCGAGAAGCTGGGACTACAGGCGCCCGCCACCACGCCTGGCTAATTTTTTTTGTATTTTTAGTAGAGACGGGGTTTCATGGTGTTAGCCAGGATGGTCTCAATCTCCTGACCTCATGATCTGCCCGCCTTGGTCTCCCAAAGTTCTGGGATTACAGGTGTGAGCCACTGTGCACGGCCAAGATTTCATTTAATTTGTAGGATATATTTTGTCAACAAAATGAATTCTGACTCTGTTTCTATAAAAGGCTATCTTGGATGTTTTTTGAAGTGTACTCTCTGGGTGTTTTTTTTTGTTTGTTTTTTGTTTTTTTGAGATGGAATTTTTGGTCACCCAGGCTGGAGTGCAATGGCGCTGTCAGCTCATTGCAACCTCTGCCTCCTAGGTTCAAGCAATTCTCCTGCCTCAGGGTCCCGAATAGCTGGGATTACAGGTGGCTGCCACCACATCTGGCTAATTTTCATATTTTTAGTAGAGACAGGGTTTCACCATGTTGGCCAAGCTGGTCTTGAACTCCAGACCTCAGAAGATCCATCCACCTCGGCCTCCCAAAGTGCTGGGATTACAAGTGTGAGCCACTGCGCCTAGCCAGAATATATATATATATATATATATATATATATATATATATTTTTTTTTTTTTTTTTTTTTTTTTTTTTTTGAGATGGAGTCTCACTCTGTCCCCCCAGGCTGCAGTGCAGTGGCACGATCTCTGCTCACTGCAACCTCTGTCTCCAGGGTTCAAGTGATTCTCCTGCCTCAGCCTCTCAAGTAGTTGGGATTAGAGGTGCCTGCCAGCACGCCTGGCTAATTTTTTGTATTTTTAGTAGAGACAGGGTTTCTCAATTTTGGTCGGGCTGGTCTCAAACTCCCGACCTCAGGTGATCTGCTTGCCTTGGCCTCCCAAAGTGTTGGGATTACAGGCGTGAGCCACTGCGCCCGGCCCAGAATATACTTTTTAAAATGAGGTGCTATAATTTATATTTGTGTACTTTAGATCAAATTAACTATAAGCTAAATTTTTAACATTTAACGATACAATTCACATAAAATTGGACAAATATGCAACTCCCCAAAACCTCAGTTTCACTCTCTGTGAAATGGAGATCTCAGCTTCTACCTCATAAAGGAGTTGTGTGTATAAATGTGGCAGCGGGTACCTAGTACAGTACATGGCCTGACACATGGCAAGCACCACATGAAATATAGCTATACTTATTAATTTGAGTAATTAACAAGAAAATTTAAAAAAATCCTGTCATTATGTGAAAAGTTCTATCTGTACTGCCAAGTGCTCAAATGTAAGAACACAATTTTTTTCCAATCTACTTCTGAGAATAAAAGTGTAGAAAAGTACTACTGATTAGTAATAATTTAGACAGAACTGCTCAATATAAATATAATTTGGATATTCAGTGAAATCTTAGTGTTACATATTTTATATCTGATTTCTAAACTTATCATGACATCAAAGTCACCTAGGAATAATTTTTTTTTTTTTTTAATTTTTGAGATAGGGTATCACTCTGGCACCTAGGCTGGAGTGCAGTGGCACAATCTTGCCTCACTGCAGCCTCTGCCTCCTGAGCTCAAGTGATCCTTCCACGTCAGCCTCCCAAGTAGCTGGGACCACAGGTACACACCACCATGCCCAGCTAAATTTTTGTGTATTTTTTGTAGAGGCAGGGTTTTGCCATGTTGCCCAGGCTGGTCTGGAACTCCTGGGCTCAAGGGGTCTGTCTGCCTCAGCCTCCCAATGTGCTGAGATTATAGGCATGAGCCACCATGCTCAGTCTGGGAATAATTTTTAATTCGAAAACACTCAAACCAAAAACAGACTCTAATCAAGAGAGTATAGATTGTCCACAAGAGAAATTCAAGAATCTCTATCATTTTAAAATTTGTACAAATAATTCTAAAGTAACGAGTCTGCAGACTAATATTTGGGGAACACTGATGTATTTCATCTACCTATAACTAATTTTAACTAGTTGCAACTCACTCTCCATGGGGAAACATTCGCCATGTTGGTAGGCTGTCCAGAAAAGGATCCAATATAAAATGTTATTGGGAAGAGTCTTAAGTACCTCAGAATTTATTGTCAGAGAATCAATACCTAGACCTCTATATGCTTTACTGAAACTCCAGGATGGTTGCCCTAGGTTTAAACTGAGTTCTGGGGGAATGATTTTCATTTAAAGGTCTCAAGCTTCATAACCATTTTGCCCAGATGAAAAAAGTTCAAAACAAGATGTAAAAATCCATGTATTGACCCTTCACTTAAAAAAAAAGTATATATATGTATTAAACCAAATGTACAGATTCTTTACAGTTGGTCCCAAAGTTCTAGAGTCTTTTTAAAAAGAAGGATTATTTTTTCTTCAGATTTTGCTTTGCTTGCTGTTACAGAGGCACTCCTGTCCAAAAGCTTCTGGTAACTTAAGTGACAAATGCAATGCAAATAAAGATAAGTAGATTAATACAAGAGCACACTCCCTGCAATTACTAATCAAAGAATACCAACTCAAGTGTAATGTTAGCTAGTCTCCTTAGCTGTTTCTCTCTTTTTATTTTTTTTTGAGCTTTTGCTTCAGATGATATGTAATACTTATGCATAAGCATATTTTCATAGTGCAAGTCAACACACTTTAACTAGTTCAATACTCATACTGATCTATTTTATTACATCTGAATAATCTTTTATTATGTGCAAAAATTGAATCACATAGTGGAAGCTGCATGCACATAAGTACGCAAAGTCCAGTAAACTGGTTGTGGTTTTTCTGATTAGATATTGATTTATTCTGAATATATAAAGTGCTGTAGGAAGATTTAAAGGCTGAGGGTGCACAAAATCATTTAAGATGATCAACAATTAGGTTTCTCTTTTTCTATAAGTGCATATACCAGAGCTATTTTAATATTAATAGTGGCTAAGGGTACTATTAGAGTTTTTCATAATGATATTACTCCAAATTATTTTATAAAGATGGGAAGTAATACTGGGAAATAATGATACACAATTGTTACTGAATATTTAATAAAGCACAAGTTAGTTATAAATAATACCACAAACTCTCTCTAAAAACCCCAAATAATTCCTCTATAAATCTTTCTATACTACTTGTTTTAACAAGTTCTATTTAAAATAACTTCTTCCTAAAAATGGAATTTGAGGACCGGGCGCGGTGGCTCATATCTGTAATCCCAGCACTTTGGGAGACTGAGGTGGGTGGATCACGAGGTCAGGAGATCGAGACCATCCTGGCTAACATGGTGAAACCCCATCTCTACTAAAAAATACGAAAAATAAGCCCAACGTGGTGGCACACACCTGTAGTCCCAGCTACTCGGGAGGCTTAGGCAGGAGAATTGCTTGAACTTGGGAGGCGGAGGTTGCAGTGAGCCGAGATCACACCACTGCACTCCAGCCTGGGCAAAGAGCGAGTCTCTGTCTCAAAAAAAAAAAAAAAATGGAATTTGAGTTCTCTAGATGAGTGTCAAACCAATGATTTAAAACATCACAAGGCCTGAGTAGAAAGAATGAATTGATTGGTACACATGGGAACAGGAGTTAGTACTTGTTAATTAGTCCTAGAGTTAGCGTTAGTACTTGTTAGTTAGTGTTAGTCCCAGAGTTAAGACAAAGAGCAACTTTAAAGTACAGAATCTTTCCCAAGAAGAGTAAATAAATCCTCATAGCATAAATCAAATTTAATGTTTGACAGTTCACCAGTTTTTATCATCTTTACAACAAACTCAGGTAGCTCTCTAGTAATTTGCCTACTCCATAAGGGGGCATTTATTTACCTCTTTACTATTAATTCTCAGATCAATAGAAGAGACATAAACTTTGAAGAAAAATTCATAATTATACTTCTGCCAGTTCCCTTCAGATTAATTTAGTGAACAGGTGGACAAATTCTCTGTGTCCCTGGAGAACAAGTGAAATATAATGAAAAAAACAGATCTGGGCAAGTACAGAAAACTAACGCCCAACTGAAGTTTTAAAACTTATATTGCAAAAGTGTATGGGTATTGAGAAGAGATGAAAGGTTGAAAAGTAATTTGAAATATGCTCAGGCCATTGCAATATACCCCATTATGATAGGGATTGAGTTATGCGCCATCATACATCTCTCCCATGTCAAGGACTTTTGAAAGGATATTAAGAGGTGACAAGCACATGAACTTAAAAAATATTTTTATAAAGACTGCCACCCATTTGTTTGGCTAATAAAAAGTCAGTAAGACTTCTGCTGAACACTCCGTTCTATGTCTAAATAGCCCATGCCAGGTTCCACTTCACAGGTGTCTCATTCAGCATGCCAGCTGCCAGAATGCCCAAGCTAAGTGTACAACTGCCCGGCACAGAAAGTGTGCATGTTTTTTACTGGGTCATGAAAGTTAGCCTTTGCTCTCATCACCACAGAGAAAAGTCAGAAGATAGCCTGTCTTAGTCAGGAAAAGAAAGTACAGCCTGTAGGAAGCAATTTGAGGGTGTTCCAGATCACACCAACAGCGGATGCTGCATCTGGGTAGTTCACGTACCCGAACAAAAATTTTAAAAATTTGGTGTGGCCTTTGCCATCCATTCACTCCTCAAAAACTACCATTTGCTTTCCCAGAAAGCAAGCTTTCCAGCCCCACAGCCACGCCCCCACGAGAGAAAAAGTCGCACTCACCAAATAGTGACAGGACCCCACACACCGTCCAGATGGTCAGAGACATGCCCACGCTGCCCGTGTTCTGGAGCACGCCCTTAGGAGAGATGAAGATTCCTGCTCCAATGATGGTGCCAATGATAATGGAGACTCCCCTCAGTAAAGTGACTTTCCTCTTCAGCTGCACTTTCTCCTGCCCAGGTGGCTCCTTGTTGCCCAGGGAAGGCAGCCTCCCGTTAACATTTCCCTGCAGGTAACCTCCTTTGGAGATGGTGGACACAACAGGCTTTCTGACCATAGTAGGGACACACGGGGGAAAAATAAAACAGAGGGAAAGAAAACAAAACTTTCAACTTTGGTGTCTCTTGGTGTTACTGATCGATGTCTTCCTCTGCTTTCAGACTGTCTCTCTCAGCGCTATAGTGTTCACAGGTGAAAACTCAAAGGTGTGCTTTTTCCTTCACAGCGATCTAATTACTACTCAGAAACACCTGTGTATGCATCGTGCTCTCAATTCTCCACCTCCTCGTTCCACCACTGCTGCTGCTGCTGCTGCTGCCGCCCTATCATTACAAACCAGCTCAGCTTCCTCATGGGCTTGTATTTAAGCGCCTGCCTGTCACACCAACTTACTACAGCTAAATGATGATGCAAATTCTCCAGGTTTGCATCAGCCACATGAGAAGCCTCCAGCATTACTCAGCTCTTTTTTTTAAAAAAAGAAAAAAACAGGAGGAGCTTGTTGCTCAACTGACCTAAGCTTTTTAGAGAACAAAGCACACACTTTAAAGAGATTTTAGCCAATCCAGAAGTAGTAAATTCGGAACAGACCTTCCCAGAGATTTAAAGCAACTCGTAGTGAGCAACAAAAGCTGTTCAAACAAAATGAAACAGGAAATAGTTACTTCATTTTAAGGAGTTTCTTTTTCTTTAATGCGTGTATAAAAACATTTTACATGCGACTGTTTTGTGAGTAGAATGTATCCTAAAGCTACATTGTTTATAACAACACAGTTTGAATTTCATAATTTGTGTAATGCTTTTTATTTTTTTATTTTGAGTTTTTTATAAGGCAATACAGTCAAATCCAATATTTACAAAATTAAAGATTCTACACTTTATACTTCTGTCACATACACACAACTATAAGCCTTCCTCAACATTAAAAGATAAAATTATTTCTTACTACTCATAATAAACCAGTATTTTAAATCACCATCCGAGTGTGACTAATACAAAATTCACCATGACTCCAGAAAATAGTCATTTTCTGATTCTCATTAGCACTAGGTGATTTTTTTGAACTATGTAAAAGATACATATCCTTCATTGTCATGTTGTTCCTTTGAATTACCAAAAAAAATTTCTAAGTTCAAAATTACACAATTACAATTACATAAAAATATGTATATAGCAAAAGCCTGTAAAGGAAAACAGAATGGTAGTTATAGAAAGTAATGATATTATGTATGACTTTTTTCCACATTATATAAACTATTGTTATTATTATAAATTTAAAATGCATTAAAAATGTAAGCTAAATTAAAATATTTACTTTGCAATAGTCAAAAAGGCAAAACATTTTTAAACCCTTCTAACTTTCTCAACCAAGTGTCAAGAAAAAACAAATATGAAAAGAAAAGAAATCCTAGATATCATTTTTGGCTATAGTTACATGTGGTTTTGGATTCAGTGAGAAGAATTGAATGTTATCATTACCCTGAAGCTACCTTTATACGCACCATTAAATAAGCTTCTGAACCTTTGAACAAAAACCACAAACAAAAAGCCTGTGTGCGAGAGGTTGGCAGGGAAAGAAGGGAGTCAAGTATGGTGAGGATGATCAAAGAAAGAAATGAGAAATCGCCATTAGGAAAGTAGCATGGAAAAGGTCAGAACCATTTTCTGTTATGTTGACACCTGAGAAAATGACACCACCTCAATGCTTTGCCATCCAAATAATTGAGGCTACATTTTCTCCTTTTTAAATTATCTATCTAAATTCTATATAATTGGTTTCAGCTACACCAAGTTAAAGTTTTTATAAAACCAAAATAAATACTTTTTCTCAGTTGTTAATGTCTTTCAAAAAACAAAAATGGATCATTTTCCTCATGCAATCCTGCTAAAACTCCCAAAGAAGGAAGCTAAATAGAGATTCTTTTCTTTCCAATTCTCTTCCTCCTCCTACATCTCCTTTCACTCACACAATTTTCCTGATTAATGGACCTAAGGAGCAGCTCTTCTTTCCCAGTAAGAGAAACATATTAGCTCTGAAGAAATATGAGGTAAAAGTAGGACACTAGGAATCTCAGGGAACAGCAACTTTCTCTAATTAACACAGTGTCACACTTTAATTTTAAATTTTGTTATAAATAACTGAACTCATAAGTTGAGCCAAAGACCCCACTCAGATAGGAAACTGAATGAATTATAAAGGACGATTATTCTTTCAATATTAAATAACATTTTCCTCCTCACAGTATTTTTTTTTTAATTATGAAGAAAAATGGCTGATGTTAGACTAAAAACCAAAAGGATTGTACTTTCATGTAAGATAGAGGCCACCACTCAGAATGTTTGCAAAGCTGCACATTGCTGCTAAGGGCACCAGTGTACCTCTTCTAAGCACCCCAAAATCTGTAGAAAATGCAGTTTATAAAGAAAATGTTGAATTGCCTTGAACTCTTAAAATTGCCAGTTCTAAGCTTGTAAACTAAGAGTTTGGATGGTCCTCAAATACTTGTGTATCATAAAAATGTGTTCAAAGCAAATGAATACATATTTTTCATCCTGTATTAGGCCTTATTTTAAGTATAGCTGTCAAATTATGAGACTATCCTAGTGCTATTCGCAAATACTTATTTACTGCTTATTGTGCACAAGAAATAGTCCTAGCTTCCTCACAGCATCTCGTAATAGAAATAGAAATAATGTATACTGGTAGCTACCGTTTTCTAGTAACAATTTCTGTCCCATGGTTATAAATACAGGCATATCATCTAGGCCTGGCCAAAAATAATCCAGTGCTCTGGCTGCAGAGTATTGGAATATTACCTGAGCTGGGATATTTCTAAACAGAATTAGAATCAGCTTTTTTCATCTGTTGTTGGAGATTGTAAAGATGTGATCTGACAACAACTGGTGGCCATGTTCCCTGGCGTGTTGCAAATATCCTCACAGAATAACAGAGAATGTGCAGAAATTAGAGATATTCAGAAAGTCCTAGTACTATCATGCCCTATGTTAGTTCCTAAGGGACCCAGATTGGCTCGGGATCCTGAAGACCTTCATTTGCTTCTGTAAGCTACCTAGTTTCCTTGCTAGGTATGCTACCTAATAACACACACAAAAGTCAATTGCACGTGGATCATGGAGCTAAATTTGAATGGTGCATCATGAACGCTTCTAGAAATGGGTCACCTGATATGATAATAATTAGTTACATGTGGTTATCAGCCCTTGAAATATGACTAGAACTTGAAGTCTTAAAGAAAAATAACAAAAAAGTTATTAACAATTTGTATTATTCATACTAGTTTTACCTATTTTATTTATTATTATGGCTACTAAAAATTAAAATCATATCCGTGGTTCAAAGTTGTGGCTTCCATTATAATTCTACTGGACGGTGCTGATCTAGAGGAAAATGCAGAATATATTTCTAAACTTTGTGTAAGCAGGGATTTCTTAAAAGGGACACACAAAGCCCTAATACAAAAAAGAGAAAAATACAGTGTAATACATTAAAATTAAGATTTTGAGTTTATTGAAATATATTATTTGATTATAAAAGTGAATCTTAAAATGGGACAAAATATTTGCAATTTGCAAAGGTCTCATATCCAGAATAAATAATAAGTTTGTATAAATAGGAAAATGACAGACAACCCAATAAAAAATGGCCAAGAAATTTGAACAGATGCTCAATAAAATAGTCAATTCATTTGTAAAAAACTGCTCAACAGTATTAGCTATTGGGGCAATTAAAACCGAAACCACAATAAGCCATCAATTCCCACTGAGAATGGCTCACATGAGACAGACTGGCAATACCAGGAGTACTGACAGCATGGAGCAACCAGAATTCTTACACTGCTGGTGGGGGGACACAAATTGGTGCATCCATTATGGAAAGCTGTTTGGTGTTATCTTTTAAAGTTAAACAGACACATACCCTTTGAACAAAAAAAACCCACTCCTGGGAATATGCCCAGTAAAAATGCAGGGCATCTATATGCCAAAAAGCTTGGATGAGAACATTCCTAGTACCTTTATTCATTTGAAAATAACCCAAATGTCCATTAACAGTACAACGGATATATGTATCATTGTATTTATTTAGTGAAATACTGCAATGCAATAAAAAAAAGGACGAACAATAGTGATATAAAAAAACAATATGGGTGACTCTCACATAATGTTAGAAGACAGAATTAAAAAGCATATACTGCATGGTTCAATTTATATAAAGTTTAAAAACAAGTGAAATGATTCTATAGTCTGAGAACTCTCTGGTTATCTTTGGAGATAAGCATTTCTAGTGATTGCGAGGGGGAACAAAAACAGTTCTAGAGTCCTGGTATTGTACTATTTTATAACCTGGGTAGTAATTACCTGAATATTTTAACTTTCTGACAATTCACTGAGATTTACATTTATTTTATTTTATTATTTTTGTTTTGAAACGGAGTCTCACTCACTCTGTTGCCCAGGCTGGAGTGCAGTGGTATAATCTCGGTTCACTGCAACCTCTGCCTGGTGGGTTCAAGTGATTCTCCTGCCTCAGACTCCTGGGTAGCTGGGATTACAGGCATGTGCCACCATGCCCAGCTAATTTTTGTATTTTTAGTAGAGATGAGATTTTGTTATGTTGGTCAGGCTGGTTTTGAACTCCTGACATCAACTGATCCACCCGCCACGGCCTCCCAAAGTGCTGGGATTATAGGCATGAGCCACTGCGCCTGGCCTACATTTATATTGTTATACCTTTCTGTATTTATGCCATAACTCAATTATAAAAAAAAAGCACAATAGTTGAAAATTTGTGATATTCTTTCAGAAACAGATTGCTCAAGCAGACAAATAAGCAAAACTGTAGAAAATTTGGAGAGCATAATTAATCAACTCAATAGAGTTACTTTATAGAGAATTTCCCATCCACCAAATAAAAAATAAAGATTATTTTCAAGCATATATGAAACATTAACAAAACTATCCGTATCGAAGACAAAAATGAAACCCCAGTAAGTTCCAAAGAATCAACATTGTGTAAACTATACACTCTTACTATAAACATGCAACAAAATTAGAAATTAATAGTTATAAAACTAATAAAATAAATCTTATATGTCTGGAAATTAAAAATCATACTACCAGCTGCGTGCAGTAGCTCATGCCTATAATCCCAGCATGAGGCTGAGGCAGGAGAATCGCTTGAGCCTGGGAGGCAGAGGTTATAGTGAGCTGAGATTGTGACACAGGGGGACTCTGTCTCAAAAAAAAAAAAAAAAAAAACATACTACCAACTTATCTTTAAATTAGAAAATAGGCCCTGAGAAAAAATTCACAAAATACTTAAAACTGAATAACAATGAAAACCATATGTTCAAATTTGTTAGAGTAGATTAAAGAAAACTTAAAGGAAAACTTAAAGCTTCAAGATACATTCATCAGAAAATAAAAGAGGAAATGAGCTCAATATTCAACAGAAAAATTTAAGTAAAAACAATATAGTCAAAGAAGAAAAAAAGATAACTACAGAAATAAAAAAATTAAGAACAAAAGGGGAATAGAAAACATTCCCAATTGGAAAATCTAATTATTTAGAAAGAATAATAATTTAGATACAGGTTTGGCAAATGTAAGCAATAAAAAATTCGGAAATATATTAAATGTGAGTTTAAAAAAAGAGAAAATATCTTAGAGAGCTAAAGAGAATTTTTAAATAATAAAGGAGTACAGTGATCTACTATATGGAAAATAATGTGAAACTCAGAATAAAATGGACACATTTCTGGAAAATGAATCG
Organism: Homo sapiens; assembly: GCF_000001405.40. Taxonomy (NCBI): domain Eukaryota; kingdom Metazoa; phylum Chordata; class Mammalia; order Primates; family Hominidae; genus Homo; species Homo sapiens. Next base: position 138,247,803 of record NC_000004.12, read on the forward strand.
ATTCTATTACGTCATTAGAAAAAACAGAAAAACTGAATGGAATGGCAACTATTTATGGTGCTAATCAAGGATATCCCTGGCTCAAAAAAATAAAACCAAACAAAACTAGGTTCTACTTGTGTTACAGGTAAGGCCTACCACATTTTTATGAAATAAATAATCTCCTCCTTAGAGAAATTATTTCAGAAAGTGAAAACAGGAGGAAAAACTGCCAGACTCATTTTTGTGAGTTTAGTGCAGACATTGGCCTACTTCCTGTAAAAGGCCAAGTAGTAAATATTTTAGACTTTAAGGCTACCCATTGTCTCTGTCCATGTTCTGTGTATCTGTGTGTTTGTGTGTGTGTGTGTGTGTGTGTGTTACAGCCCTTTAAAAATATAAACATTTTTCTTAGCTCCTGTGTAGTTCGCCAACTCTTTGTTTAGCAATATCTTAACTGCAAATAAGGCATTACAAGGTCAGTGCAATGGGCTAATGACAGGAAGTTTTATAAATAAAGTTTTATTAGAACATAGCCATGCCCACTCATTTATATATTTTCTATGGCTGCTTTCATATTACAACAGTAGAGTTGAGTAACTGCAAAAGAGACTGAATGGCCTGCCAAATAAGAAATGTTTATAATTTGCCTCTTTACAGAAAAAGTTCGCTGACTCTGGCTTAAGAGAAGATACAGGAATTGACTATTTATTTCCACTTTGATGTTCTCTCTTACTAGTAACTCTCTTTGCATATTCAGTGCTTGCTATTCCTACAAGATAGGAGTTAAAACAAAAAAACTGTGAAGCAAAAACTATTATGAAGAGAGTCATTGTACAGATAAAATATCTTTATGCATCTAAGAACACAGCACAAAATATGTGAAGCACATACAATAAAATAACAAAGAAAATTTGATAAGCAAATGTTGAAAATTCAACACACTTCTCTCAATATTAAATCAATAGGAAAAAAATATTATCAATTGTAGGTGATAGTTGATGTTCTATAGAGATTTTCTCATATCACTTTTCTTATTTCTGGGTATTTGTTCCTTAGCTTCTGTTTTTGCTTAAAAAGGCATACCTGCGACTCTCCTCAGAGGACGGCGCTTAGATTAACGGAGCCACTTTTCCCATGGGGGCAGAGAGTAGGGATGCCTGGGAGTTTACATCCCTTATGGAATGTTAACAGATGTTAACCGATCACTCCTTGATTTGAGAATATGACAGTCCAACATACTTGCCTTTAGTTGAGACAATCTCCGGAGTTATTTTCCCAAGCTGCAGGATCAGGCTAGGCGTTTACCTGAAATTTTAGCTTTCTTTGTCTTTCCCGTCCGTGTTCTGCTTCCTGCACTCCCTCCACAGTATTCATAGAAGCATTTCCTTATTTTGTGGTATTTTTTTTTTTTAGAGAACTTGAATTAAGACAGTTGATATTGAACGTAGTCTAGAGTGCAGACTCAAAAAAATCTGTAGTTTACTGACTCACCTGCCAAATGGCAGTAACGAGCCCAACTCAAGTGACCAGCAGAGTATGGATAGCTGCTGTCAGGCTGCTGTATTGCAGTTACTAAGACTTTCACCTGGGATGAACTGGGATAGGGTACAGTTGAATAGGGATGAACTGCTTTGTGCATCCTCTAGTATTTGGGAATATTACAGTACTCTTCTTAATCTTAGAGATAAGATAAAGAAATATATTGTCACCTCTATCATTTATCATTTTCTATGCATTAACTGCTAGAATTAGACAAGAAAAGGCATGAAGAAGGAAAAAAAGAGCACAAAAACTCATTATTTTATGATTAATTACCTGGAAAAAATAAAACATTCAACAACAACAACAACAAAAATCTCTCCTACAATGAATTAAACCATTTTAAGATAATGTTTACAAATAAATAAATTTCCAAATCAGTACACTTTGTATATACAAACAAGTTACATGAAATATTGAAAGACGTCATACCATTTACAATAGCAACAAAGAATTTAAAAGCTAAGAATAAAATTAACAAGACATTTGTAAATTGTATATTTTTTAAAAACAGCTTGACCAGATAGAAAGATATGTCATGCTTTTTTTTTTTTTTTTTGCGACGGAGTCTTGCTCTGTCGCCCAGGCTGGAGTGCAGTGGCGTGATCTCGGCTCACTGCAAGCTCCGCCTCCTGGGTTCACGCCATTCTCCCGCCTCAGGCTCCTGAGTAGCTGGGACTACAGGCGCCTGCCACCACGCCCGGCTAATTTTTTGCATTTTTAGTAGAGACGGGATTTCACCATGTTAGCCAGGATGGTCTCGATCTCCTGACCTCGTGATCCGCCCGCCTCAGCCTCCCAAAGTGCTTGGATTACAGGCGTGAACCACCGTGCCTGGCCTGTAAATTGTATATTTTTTTAAAAACAGCTTGACCAGATAGAAAGATATGTCATGCTTTTAGATAGGAATACTAATAACATAAGTTGTCAATTTTTTAAGTTAATTTACAAATGGAACATAATACAAATAAACATGCCAAGAACATTTTTAACTAGGAAAAGTAATTCTACAATTATATGAAAATATTAACTTTTCGTGACTAAAAAACAAAGATTGAGAAAATACAAGGTCATCAAAATATACTACGATTTTTCAGTAATTAAAACCCGGTGGTGCAGGTACATTAAAAACAGAATCTAAAGACCAGAAATTGGCCCAAATAAATTTGGAATTTTATCTAACGATAAAAGTATCATCTCAAACCAGAGGGAAAAATATGAACTATTTAAAAATGATGTGAGGCTTGGTTATACACCATGGACTACTACGCAGCTGTATAAAAAAGAACAAAATCATGTCCTTTGTAGAAACACGGATGCAGCTGGAGGCCATTATTTTAAGCAAATTAATGCAGAAACAGAAAAGTAAATACCACATGTTCTCACTTATAAGTGGAAGCTAAACACTGAGTACACATAGACATAAAGATGGGAACAACAGGTACGGGGGACTACTTTAGAGAAGAGGGACGGAGGAGATGGGGACTGAAAAGCTACCCATTGGCTACTATCGGTGACAGTTACTACCTGGGTGACAGGATCATTAATACCCCCAACACCAGCATCACAATATACCCATAATTTACCCATGTAGTAAACATGCACATGTGCCCCCTGAATCTAAAACAAAAGCTAAAATTATTTTTTAATAAATGAAGTGGGGAAACCTACATAAACTGTTAGAAAAACATAAAGTTGAACTAATTGTTCATACCATACAACAGAAATAAAATCATAATAGATCAAAGGTATAAATGTAAAAATAAAGTCACAAAAGTCCTATAATAAAACATGGTAGAAAGTCCTATAATAAAACATGGTAGAATTCCTTTAGAGTCTAGAGTGCAAAAGGTTTATCTAACTGACACAAACTCTAGAAGCCACGAAAAAAAAGATCATTTTAACAAGATAAATTGTTGAAATCTTTCTGACAAAAAGAAAAAAATCATAAAGTCAAAACATAAAATCATAATGTCACAAAAATGTGATATATTTAAAACCACAGCCAAAGTCCTAGTCCTTTTAAATTTAACAAAGTTCATACAAATTGATAACAAAAAGATGAGCAACCTAACTGAAAATCAGCAAAGGATATTAATAAATTCTTCACAGAAAAAAAATACATATGGCTTTTATACATATGCAAAGATGCTCAATCTTAATCATATTGAAATGCAATTTCAAAAATCAAGAATGTTCTCATTAACAAATAAGAGTTGATCAAAAGGAGAAGCTTTCTTGAAGCAGCATATTCTGGCCCAACTTGGAATAATTTGAGCACTAAGAAAGACAATGATTGCAATGAATTATTATACATTTTTTAAATGATGAGTATAGTTTTATCAGAAGAGAGAAGGGAAAAAAGAAAAAGGAGGTTCTTTAAAGAATCACAGCTAATAAATGTAAAAGGAATGAAAGAATTAGAAAATCAATGATTTTGCAATTCTATTCAATAATTGATTCAGACAAGCATCATAATGAGTGTGGAAACCTCTGAGTGAAATCTTATTAAAATAGAAAATTTCACATACTTTTGAATTATTCATCCAAAGATCACTTATACATTTCAAAGGAAAGCGTACCTTTGTAAAAGGGAGATCTGATTGTCACCCTTAATTAAATGACCAAAGCAAACATCACCAATACTGCCAGTTAACATAACCAATATTGATAACGCCATATACTTTATGTAAAATGCTTGCCAAAAATGCTTACCCTGAATCCAGTGATGAGAAAACAAAAGAATCCAAAAAATCCAGAATATGATAAAATCTATGCCACAATTGGCCTGGAATTTCCTCTCTCTCTTTTTCTTTCTTTCTTTTTTCCTTAATTCTGTTTGAGACAGAGTCTCACTGTCACCCAGGCTGGCATGATCTCTGCTCACTTCAACCTCCATCTCCCGAGTAGCTGGGATCACAGGAGCCCGGCACAATGCCCGACTCATTTTTGTATTTTTAGTAGAGATGGAATTTTGCCATGTTGTTCAGGCTGGTCTCGAACTCCTGACCTCAGGTGATCCGCCTGCCTTGGCCTCCCAAAGTGCTGGGATTACAGGTGTGAGCCTCTGTGCCCGGCCTGGCCTGGAATTTTCAAAAACTCAGTGTAATAAAAAATAAAAAGGGAGAGAGAGTGTTCTAGATTCAAAATAACTAAAGGGATACAACAACCTAATGCAGTTTGTCAAACTTGATTGAACCCCAGATTTTTACATATATACAATATATTTTGGAAAATTGAAAAAATATGAATAAGAATTGTATTTTAATTTATATATGGAATTATTAATTTTCTTAGATGTGACAATAAAATTGTGACTGCACAGGAGAATGTCATTATCTTTCAGAGATGCATGTGAAATACATATGGGTGAGGTGTCATAGTGTATGTAATTTGTTGCCAAATGATTCAGCAAAAATATATGTAAAGATAAGTCAGATGCAGTAAACTATTACCGTTGCATCAGAGTTTATGATAGCAAAAGTTTGGAAAAAACATCAATATCCATCAAAAGGGAATAGTTAAATAATTATCAAATATAAAATGAAATACTAACCAGCTTTAAAAATTTGTTTTAATCTCGTAATGTAGTGGTATAGGTAAATTTCTAAAATATAACATATCTGATATTAAGTAACAAAAGAAGGGCAATAATTGTGTGTGTGTGTGCATAAAGATAATTATGTAAAATCTCTGCATAGAAATTGAGCAGACAGGTGTAAAAGTAGGAGAAATGTTTTTAGTTTATACTTCTTTTTAATGCTGATATCTAACCTTTGTGAATGAATACCGATTTTAATAACCACAAAAATGTAACAAACAATGAGGCAAGTGCCAAGAATGTAGAGAAAAGGTAGATAATGTAATAACAGAAATAGATTTAAACATAATGATGAGAAATAACAAATATGACAACTGTTTTTCTGAAAAGCTAATAAATTTAAGCATGTTTTTGGCAAGACGGCTCAAGATAAAGAGAGACAGTCATAAGAAAATCTTAAGAAAAAAATACAGGTAATAACCAGTAACAAAGTACAGGTTTAAAAACCTTAATAAAGGGCCCAAATTCAGAACAATTTATTTTAAGAGCCAGATTAAATGGGCAATTTTCTAGAAAAACCAATACTACCAAAATGACTCAAAAATAAATAGAAAATTGGAATATATTTTTAAATAGTTAGAAATTAATCAACGTTAAAAAGCTACATTTAACAAAATAATCAACAAAAAGTAGACAGGTATTTTATAGCAGATGTCCACAAACATTTAAAGGACACATAATTCCTAACTTTTGCAAACTATTGCCAAAGTAGTAAAAGTAGAAAAACTCCCAATTCTTTTTTATTAAGCTATTGTAATTTTGATAACAAGTAATAGAAAAAGACAGTAAAAACATGGAAAAAGAAAGTACAGCCTTACCTAAAATGTAAATAAATGCATGCTAAAGTGTTAACAAAAATACTTAAAATATTGGCAAATCATATTTAATAATGCATTTAAAAATTCATAATAATCTAATATGATATCTTAGAATAGAAAGATAATTGAACAATAGAAAATAAGCATAGTCCTTTGTGTATTATTTATATGCAATTTACTTGTATAAGTATAGAATTCACAATTCCTATACTGGAATGTACATAATATGGAATTTACAATTTTTTAGAATCCTTTTATTGTGTAATTGTATAACCAAAAGATGGTAAAATGATAAATTTATTTTATTTATAGTATATTATTATATATGCATATATTTTATTATATATGCATATATAAAAATATATATATTAACATATGCTATTAAACATTTTCTTAGAAATTGGCCAGGCATGGTGGCTCATGCCTGTAATCTCTGCTCTTTGAGAGGCTGAGGTGGGCTAATCATCTGAGGTCAGGAGTTAAAGACCAGCCTGGCCAACATGGCAAAACCCCGTCTCTACTAAAAATACAAAAATTAGCAGGGCATGGTGGCAGACTCCTGTAATCTCAGCTACTCGGGAGGCTGAGGCAGAAGAATTGCTTGAACATGGGAGGTGGAGGTTGCAGTGAGCCGAGATCCCACCACTGCACTCCAACAAGACTCTGTCTCAAAAGAAAACAAAAAACAAAACAAAACAAAAAGGAATTTTAACCAATAAAAACAGAAAAGAAAGAAAATAAATAAAATGGCTAAGTATTGTAAAAAAAGTATATAAAGAGTTTTTGTTATTCACAGATGGTATTATTGTCTAAATAGAAAGTTGAAGAGAAGAGACTCTACCAACAAACATATTTAAAATAATGAGGATGCCCTGTAAGGTTGCTGAATATCAGATCATTATACCAAAAAAACTTATATTTCCAAAAGCAAAAAAATACAAAATATCCTTTAAAAAGTATTAAAAGTTGAAAAATGTAGATGACCTAGAAATAAATAAAAAGTTTATAAAATATTAAAATCTTCACTGAAGGATTTATAAGCAGACTTAAATTCATAGAGATATATGCCCTCTCCTGGATGACAAAACTCAATAGCTTGAAGATGGCAATCCTCATTAAATGAATTGATATGTGAAAATAAAATATTTTTTAAAATTTTTATAAAACTAGATAAGTTCATACTCAAATATATATATTTTAGGATGAAAGGCCAAGAATAATCAGCACAAATTAAAAATAAAAACTAGTAAGAGGAGGAAAGAGTCAACTGGAAATCAAGACTTATTGCAAAAACATGGTAATTAAACTAGTGATCCTGGTACAGAAACAAATAAGTAGACCAATAGAACAGAATAGAAAGCTTACTTTAAAAGGCTCAATTATATATGAAGTCAAAGGTGTACAACAGGCAGCATTACAAAACAGTGGAGACAGAGTGGCCTATGTAATCCATGGTGTTAAAATAGTTGGCTTTCTGCATAGAAAAAGTTCAGATTAGATTCTTACCTCAAAGTATACACAAAAATATTTTAAACAGATTAAAGACCTGAATATGAAAAGCTAATTTTTAAAGTATTTTACAAGAATGTTTAGGAGTAAATGTTATGTCATCAGAACAGTGAAAAAATTTTAAACAAGACAAATATCTACATGGGTTGCTCCCTCCCTTGCCTAACAAGTTCTCTGCTCTACTCAAAAGGGCTTGTTTTTGGCCATCAGATATAAAATACGAACCTCCACACTTAATGCTTACTATTTGCTATATCATTACCCTGTTTTACTTTTCTTTATATCAATTATTATCGGTGCTGAGAAGGGAATAGGCACTTCATCTATTGTGTTTGCTGCTGTACCCCTAGATCTAGTACCTGGCACATAATATTCTCTGAATAGAATATTTAAAGAATTGTGAAAATGAAAAAAGAAAGTGAAACTATAAAGGAAAGTATTTGTAAGTGTATGACATTAAATTAAAAATTTTCTGTACATTAAAATTACTATAAATATAGAAATAGTCCATATCCAAGAGACCATATTTGTTTTGCATCTAAGGGAAAGTTGTAAAGTCCAGAATATGTGTGTGTGTGTGTGTGTGTATGGAAATGTATAAGAAAAGCAAACAATTCAAGATAGAAAGGACAAAGGATTTAATCAGTTTATTCAAAGAAGAGAAAACTTAATTGGCAGAACACATGAAAAAGTGACCTTAGGTATGATAGCAACAGGAGCAGATGCATCCCTGGGCAGACAGGGAAAGTTCCCCGATGAAACCTAACCTTCAAACCAAAGACAGCCTGAAGCCTGAGAACCTGAGCTGCCAGTTCTGGGTGGAGCCCACAACTGGAGTGAAAACTTCCCCCATGCCTTTTAGCCAATTGAATGCTGCTTTTCCAGGCCTGCCCGTGGACCAACCAGCATGCACTTCCCCATTCTGAGCCCATAAAAATCCTGGACTCATCCTCACAGAGGGCTACCCACTTTGGGTCCCCTCTTGTTGTTGAGAGCTTTTCTGTCACTCAATAAAATTCTTCTCTGCCTTGCTCACCCTCTGATGTCCACCATACCTCATTCCTCTCGGTCATGAGACAAGAACCCGGAAACCGTAGAACAGCAGGTGCAAAAGGTGCTGTGTACATACACTCCTGCTCGTCAAGCTACAGGAGTGAAAAAACCGCTGGGCGCCACACAGCCCCATTCATTGAGCTGCAGGCAGTGGGACCAAATGAGATGTGTGACACACCCCACTTCACCAAGCTCAGGCAGCAGGAATGAAAGAGAGCTGTAACACTTCCTTGGGGCTCAGACCTCGGGACTCCCTGAGCAAAAGCTGTAACACCCCTTGGAACTCCACAGTTGCTGGCATCTCCGAGTTTTGGGGTGCCACTGTCTCCCTCTCGTCCAGATGCCAGGGCCCAGTGGCCCCAGCAAAGCCTGGGCAGAAGCGCCACTGGCTGTGGAGAATTCCGGCTGGTGAAGCAGCATTGAAAAAATTGTGTGTCAGGTACACAACCACTTTGTTGACATTTGTCAATAATAAACATTGACTGGCGCTGCTTGTGAAAATCAAGTAGTGTTTACTTACCTAAAGCACAGAGAGAAGAAAGCAAATGCAGTCAAGGTATACCACAGAGATCTTAGCTACATTCTTCAGCACAGATGGTGTTTTCCTTTCACCACTTGCAGACCATAACATACAAGAAAGCTGAGTGAGGTGGCCCAAGCTTTCTGTTACCATGACATTCTCTTTCTAGATCTGAAAGCAATCTACATGTAAGCAAATCTGGCATATATCAGTATCTCATCTGAGTCAGGTTTACCTTATCAATCTCAAAATTGTACAACCCACAAATTCAATTACAAGTTATATGGCATTATACCTAGATATTAACATAGCTCCTCATCTGTTTCCTTCCACTTTCCCAGGCTAATATAGTCTCATCAAAGAAAACACTGGTAGAAAAAACACATTCCTCTCAAACACATATGGAAGAGTTACCACAGTTGCCTACATCCTATGACATTTAAGAAATCTCAAAATATTTCAGATAAGACCTATTATACAATTCACGTACTTTGACTGCAACACAATTAAGTTAGAAGTTAGAAACAGGAAAATTAAAATCGGCATTAAAACTCATTGGTCTAAAAGAAAAATAAATGGTAAGAAATGTTACAATTCTTAGAGGTGAATAATAATAATAATAGTATATCTAAATGTGTGAGGAATATACCTTAGGCCACATTGAGAGGGGGATTTACAGCCTTAACTGCTCAAATTAGAAAAGAAGAAAGACCAAAAATTAAAGAGTAACTGTCCAACATAAAAAATTAAAAGCAAGCAATAGGGCCAAAGAAAGTTAAGTAAAGGAGATAATTAAGATAACAAAATAGATGAAGATAAAGTAGAAAAATTCCACAAATTCTAGCTATTTTAAGAGTAGGAAAATAAAAGCAAACTTCTGGTAATATTGATGAATAAAAAGATAGAGACAGAAAATGCAAATATAATATTATGAATGACAAAGGAGACAGTACTAATGATACAACTGAAATTATAAAGAGAACAAGCAAATACTATCAATAACTTTGTTCAAATTAGATTGAAAACCTAGGTGAAATGAACATATTTTTGTTAAAAGTTAACCTAAGAAAACTAACTTGTCAGAATATAGAACACCTGAATGGCACTATCATTAGTAAAGAAATTGAAGTATTGCTAAAATCTCACACAGAATTAATACAAGATCTGGGTGGGTTTACAGGCGATCTTACAAAACCTTTCAAAGATCAGTATAGTAGAAATTTGTATACCCCAAACCCACCAATTCTACTCACAGCAATTTAACTAAGAGAAAACTTTATCCATGTTCACCAAGAGATGTTGACAAGAACAATCAAAAAGCAAAAAATTATAAACAACCCTAATTGCCTTTAACTGGAGAATGCTAAATGAATTGTGTTTTATTCACACAATGCAGCATGAAAAAGACGAAACTACAACTGCCTGAAAAAACGTGAGAAAATCTTAACATAATAAAACCCCCAAAGCAATTCAATATGATACTCTCTTTATAAAGTTTAGCAACAAGCAAATGCAAACCACACACACACACACACACACACACACACACACACACACACACAAATTCCTAAAAGGCAAACTAAACTTTACGGCTAAGGGATGCAAAGGGAGAGGGGTTTAAGAGGTCATGGGTATCCACGGCATTATTTATAAACAAACAGATAAGCAAAAATATGGCCGTGCCTGGACTAATAATGTTGTGTCATAAACCTAGGAATATAATGAACGTCATTCCTCATGCCAGAGGTCTTACAGAAAAGAAAAAGAAGTAATTTTATCTTCTGGTCTCATAGTAACAAATCTTAACCAGCTACTTTACACAGGGAAATAAAAGTTAAGGTTTCACCTCTCTCCAGTTGGCAAATATTTAGGATGATTAACATCCACATGTGGGTGAGGATATGGGGAAAGGAAACCTAAATATTGACCTTCAAATGTAAATTTATACAATGACTTTAGGTAGCAATTTAGAAATATCTAGAAAAGTTAAAGTCGCACTTGCCCTATGAGTTAGGAATTACACTTCCATATATCTACGTTAAATAAATTTCTTTACAAGTGCTCAATGGAGACAAGTACAAGGATCCTTCATTGCAGTGTTGTTTATCACAGCAAAAATGCAGAAACATCACAGAGAAATGAACAAACTGTGGTGTATTCCTACTGGTAAAGTGTATTAACAACTTAAAACCATCAAGTTAAGTGAGAAAAGCAAATTGCAGTCGGATACACAGGATATGATACTATTTAAGTAAAGTTTAAAAGTACACAATACAATTTTGCATATTGTTTATGAATTCATTCAATACTTAGTAAAAGAACATTAGGTTATTACCAATTCCTGAATAGCGAGTAGTTTGCCTATCAGGCAAGAGAAGGGAGGGTTCCAGGGATAAAGCTTTGCTGGGATCCTCAATGTATTATTTCTTTAAAGTAAAAATAAGCTGTGAACTCCAGGAACATGGCAAAATAGCATCTGTTAAACCTAAATCGTGCATCGTGTGTTTGTTACTTTCTTTTTTTCTGTAGGTTTTAATTATTTCATCAGTAAAAATGAATTGAATTAAATTCTATTGAATTATGCAACAAAATAGTCTGCCATCTCAAACTACCTTAAATGCCAGAGAACATCATCCGTTCCACAGCACAACAGAATCATTGGAATCCTTGGAATGGTTTGATGTGTCCAGTCTTGCCTGTAATTATTTCACTCAACTAAGCCTAAATTCCAACACGAAAAAGGAAAGAGATTTTGGGAGGAGTACTTAGCCTTCTGTAATATAAATTTTTATCAATTATCAGAGAATGCTGAAAGTGCTGTTTTGTAACAGATTGTTGAGGTTATATTAAACCTAGACAAACTAAAATCATTCATACATAAGCAATTTCAAAACACCTTAAATAAGGTCATTAAAATCTTTAATTTTTTGTAGTATGTTTCTTTTATAGAAATGTGTAAACTCCAGAGAAAATATATAGAAGCAATGTAAGAAAATTATAAATACATGTATAAATTTAGGTCATATGAACATCTGAAATACCATAATTATGGTGCTGTTTCCATTTCAGAAATTCAACCTATCAAAAAAATGTGGTCCTTGATTTCAATCATGATACTGAGTCATCAAAATGTAACCACAAGCAAGTCTCCACGTGGATTTCCACTCCTTGTTCTTTTAAGAAGCAGGAAATCATAATCTCTGAAAAGGACACACCCATCACCATTAATGACAGCCTATCTACAGTGTAATTTACGTCAACATTCACTTGAATAATTTGTTAGAGACCTTGTACTTCACACTTTGCAGTGGGGAAAGTGATTATTAAAGGAATTTGCCACAGGAAATAGTTACAAATAAGAGAAAAACATTACTGAAGTTGGGGGGGGTGGGCAAGAATCTTAGTCCATAACATAAACAAAATCCATATATTTTAATCTCTTAAATAAAACAAGTAATAAGCAATTAGTTCCAATCTAGTTAAATTCAATTATGAGTTACATGAAAATCTCAATATGAAATTCAGGGCCAGAATTCACTAAAAAGATGTCTATTAAAATGACTAACTCACCATGAGTTGTCACAAAGAACTCTAAACACATTTTAAAGTTTTAAAAAGTGTAAAATAATTTTGCTAAAATTAGATTGTTTTTAAAATCTGTTTATGTTAATAAATATTTGAATTAATTTTACTAAGTAAATTCTCCTTATACTTGAACATCCTTAGGAGGTATATAAATGATATACAAAGTCATATATACCTGATTGACAATTAGCCCTTAGGTGAGAATGTTCACTTTGGACAAGCTGGGTCAGTTCATTGACCTCCTCAGTTTAAGTGTCTCCCCTCTGCATCTGTCATTTTATTCCTGCTTTAGGTAAACATTTAATGACTATTTACCATGTTCCAGGCATTATACTAGGTGGGGATATATAGAGGTTAATAATAATACTAATAAGAGTGTGTAAGTGCCTATCACTGTATAAGCAATTTACAGTCCCCACCATCATAAAATTTACAATGAAGTAGAGAAGACACAACTAATAAATTGATTTCAATTGTAATAAGAGCCAACAAGAAGACCAATAGGAGTCTAAATAACAGGGAAATGGTCTGAAAGGCAGGGTTGGTATCCTTGAGAAAGGACAAGAACACTACCAGTTTCCACCAATTGCTTACTATTTTGCCCCAGTTGCCCCATACAGCTTTTCTCTGAAAACCAATGCTGTATTTCTAAAAACTTTATTAAACCCTTTCCTCATTCTTACCCACTTTTCTCCCATGTCTGATGAGCTCTTCACTAAGAAACCTACACTTGCCCCCCATATGTAGGTAAATATACGTCATCCCACTGAAGATTCAGACACTCATATGAGCATTAATTCACAATTAATTTCCTGCATGATGTTAGTAAAACCAAAGAGAATGCAGGTGTTGCTGATTAAAAGCTGCCTTTCTCCAAAATTGTTACATACCATTTCTACTGCAATCTGTTCTCTTTCATTGCCAGGAAGACAATGAGAGCAGGAGGGCAGAAAAGAAGGGAGGAATAAAAGAAGGTGTATTAGTCTGTTTTCACACTGCTATATAGAACTACCTGAGACTGGGTAATTGATGCAGAAAAGAGGCTTCATTGACTTACAGTTCTGCAATCTTAACAGGAAGCATGATGGGGAGACCTCAGGAAACTTATAACCATGGCAGAAGGCAAAGGGGAAGCAAGGACCTTCTTCACATGGTAGCAGAAGAGACAGAGTGCAAAGGGGGAATGTGCCACACACTTTTAAACCATCAAGTCTCATGAGAACTCACTCACTCTCGTGAGAACAGCACAGGGAAAATCCATCCCCATGATCCAATCACCTCTCACCAAGACCCTCCTCCAATTCAACGTGAGATTTGGATGGGGACATAAATCCAAACCATATTAGAAGGGAAAAAGAAAATAAAGAAAAGAAGAGAGGATAAGAAGGAAGGGAGGAGGAGAGAGGGGCAGCAGCAGAAAATTCATGCTCTCCACATGAAAAGAACTTCGGCACATCTTTTTCCTGTCTTCCTTTTTCCTTCTTCTTCCTCTTCTCTTCTTTACCTCCCTCCTCCTGTTTCTTCTTATCTCCTTTGTCTAACAATACACATAAATGCACAATTTAAAACTGATATCATGGGATATACTCAGAGCTCTTTTCTAAATGCAGTTCATATTGTAATGCAAAAATCAGCTCCTGGATGCAATAAGCACTCCACAGTATTGGAGACGTTTTAAATAAAGCTGACAAATCTCACTTCTCATATTTGCTACAGATTTAGAGTGAGAAGTGATGGCACTTAAATTTCTGCCAGCCACCACTGGCACTGAAATGTTACTTTTGCTGAAGTTTATATCACTACCCTGCCCTTGCTTCTTGCTTATGCCTTTGATTTTCCTCACCTCTTCACCCACTGTACACCGCCCCCAATCATTTCACACCCCCAAATAGCAACCACTCGGAGTTGTATATTTATCTATGACTAGCAGACTAGTGTGAAGTTTTGGTGCAAAGCAAATTGGAGAAGGGCCGTTTCCATATTATAGTGACATAGGGAACAACTTGGAATTAAGAATTAGTTATCTGATTTTAAAGCCTCTTAGCCATTTCTGACGTTGGAGACTTCACCCTTCTTTAATATAGAATGTCAACCATTGCCTAAGTTTCTAGATCTGTCGTTCCCCACCTACTTTCATCTTCTTTCTTGTTCTCAGGCTGCCTAGAGAAGCTCAAAATGCTTCTCACATGACCATTCATAGAAATATGTTTCCCTTTGCCTCACTTCCTACCCAGCCTATTCCTATGCTGAGAGACATTCATTGTTCAACCAAACGGATGGTCTACCATGGTGCTGGTCTCAAGAAACATATTCATTTCACCTAAGAGGAATTCCTTCTCAGTTCTTAAATTAACAGGTTATTTTTTTCTTCTTTCTTACAATTTGAAAGCAGAGTCGTAAAAGAAAAGTAAACATTAAAAAAAGAGCAAGCAAACAGAACAAAGTCTACAAGGAATAATATTGAAAGGTAAAATATGCTAGAATAAATGGTTTAAAAGTCCTGACTAGTGACTTCCAGTAACAGTGCTTCGTTGAAACCGTCATAATGGAATTCTCTCCAGCAAATAGCACAGTGCAACTTTTATTCAGTTTGTATGTGCATGTATGTGTGTGTATCCATCAGTTTCCGAAATTGTAGTAAAAATCTAAATATATGGTGTAATGCAACGTGAGGATGAAGGAAAAAGAATGTTAAGACTTTGGCTAAGTGGTAAAATCCATTAGCAGAAACCTCAAAACTGCAAGCATAATTATGACCCCTGAAAGTCAAATCAATTGTGCATGTCTGTGCGGGGAGTCAGGGTGAGGAGGAGTGGGGCTGAGTTGAAAGAAATGGGAAAAATGAATGTGATTGGTGAAGATGAGAACCTCTAAAGCAGCCACTCAAATGACAAAATACATCAATATGGTGCATTTGTTCTGTCTTTTTCTAAAACTTTGAACTGATCATTCTGCCAAATAAATGAACAAACTGAAACTTAGCCGTCTGTCCTATGCAGCCCTACAATGATTGAATGTACAACAGCTTGTGAAAGAACCAAAAAGGAAAGCCAGGCTGGAGCTAGCCAACAACATATATCATGTGGTAGGAAAGTGTCAATGAATATGGAACTAACATTTTTTTTCGAAAAAGAAATGAAAAGAAAAAAAGATGACAGTTGTTCATGAGAAGGCTGAGAGGGAGAGGGCAGATGATAAGTAAAGCTGACTCAGAGAGCACATGGGTACAGTTTTGAAGTACAGCAGGTAGTTATGCAATGCTTGGTGATTACACCCTCAAATACAGCACGACAGGCAATAATTTAATTTTTCAAACCTCCATGTTAAAAGCAAGTTTTGAATTTGGCAGTGAGGCCTTTTCCTTCCACTAGTGTCAAGTGAGAGTGCAGCCATTTCATTTGAATGCCCAGCTGCAACATTCAGTGCATTTATCATAGCTAGATATTTGACCAAATTTTTGTGACTTCTATTTCTTGACAAGAATAGTAGTAAATTGGACCAGTTTTTGCTTTGAAGTCTTCATATTCAACAATGGAATAAGGGTTCATCTTGTACCTATTAGTATCACATATCTTTTCCTAGGAAACTGAGACAACACTGGTTTCCATTTTTAAAAGAGTTATAAATGTAAGGGGTACAAGTACAGTTTTGTTACATGGATATATTATACAGTGTTGAAGTCTGGGCTTTTAGTGTTGACTGTCACCTGAATAGTGTACATTGCATCCTTAGAGTACCTTCTTACCCTCACCCCCTCTCCCTTCCCTGCCCTTCCAAGCTCCAATGTCTGTTATTTCACACTGCATGTCCATGTGTACACATTATTTAGCCCCCACTTATATGTAAGAACATGCAGTATTTGACTTTCTGTTTCCGATTTGTTTCACCTAAGGTAATGTCCTCCAGTTAAGAAAAGGAAAGAAGGAAGGTGTATTAGCCCGATCTCACACTGCTATAAAGAACTGCCTGAGAGGGGGTAATTTATAAAGAAAAGAGATTTAATTGACTTACAGTTCCACATGACTGGGAAGGCCTCAGGAGACTTACAATCATGGCAGAAGGTACCTCTTCACAGGGTGGCAGGAGAAGAAGAAGCAAACAAGAGAGGAACTGCCAAACACTCATAAAACCATCAGAACAGCACGGGGGAAACTGCCCCATGATCTGATCTCCCCCCACCAGGTCTCTCCCTCAACACCTAGGGATTAAAATTCAAGATGAGATTTGGGTGAGGACACAAAGCCTGACCAGATCAGAAGGTAAGGAGGCAGAGAAGGAAGGAAGAGAGAAAATAAGATATATAGGTAGGGAGGGAGCAACAGAAAGGAGCCACTAAAAAAATAGATGTGCATGGCTGAGTGTTTTATGGTCATTTTAATCGAGAGTATGCTGTGTTCTGAAGTATATATCCTCCTAAAATTCATATGTTGAAAGACTAATCACTATGTGACAGTATTAAAAGGTGGGGCCTCAGAGAGGTGAATAAATCATGAGGGCTCAATGGGATTCGTGTTCTTATAAAAGAGGCCCCAGGAAGCTGCCTTGCCTTTTCCACCATGTGAGGACACAGCAAGAAGGTGCCACCTATGAATGAGGAAATGCGCTCTCACCAGACACCAAAAATGCCTGCACCTTGATCTTGGACTTCTCAGCCTCCAGAACTGTGAAAAATAAATGTCTGCTGTTTATAAGCTACTCAGTCTATGATATTTTGTTATAGCAGCCCAAATGGACTAAGATAGAGTGCCATGAGAAAAACATCCAATTACAATAACTCATGTTTCTATGACACATTTTCAAATATGAGAAAGAAATTGGAGCCAACTATTTTACGGATTTGACAGAACCAAAACATTTTTCCTGTTTTAAAAGATAACGTACAGGCAATCTGTGTCATACAAAGTCTTCCAAAGAGAAAATTTTCAGTGGCACACTTAAAATGGAAAATTAGGAAAAATTTGTTGTTAATATCCTTTGATCATCCTTCCCTCCTCCCTTTTTAGCTGAATATTTTTGTTATATCTTGCTCTATTCCACTTCCCTAATTGTACCCAATTTTCACTAAAGTGCCCCATGACACAAAATAATTCCTTCTTCACTGATAACTTATTTTTCTTTACTTATAACAAAAAAGAAAAAGCAATTTTTGTTGGAGAACTTCATGCAAAATGTGAATGGTTGCTATAAGCCTTAACCTCAAAGAGATTATTTTCTAATTAAAATCAATTAGAGATATATGTAGGAAGGTTTTTTGTTTGTTTTGGTTTGTTAATTGTTTGTTTTAGCATGGAAGCTTTCAAAGTATACCTTGCTTACTCTGAGAGAGTAGCCTTTTATTCCGTGTGTTTTTAGACTAATTACATAACTATTCAGTAGCCTTTCTAATAAGTTGGGGACCTTTGGTAAAAACTGACAACTTATCCTTTTGTTTGTAGCCTTGTGGCATCTTCTTGACTCCTCCCCCTATTTCTAGATTCACTGTCATTGGAGGGTTTATTTCTCTCAAGTGCTACATCAGGTTGATGATGAGAGCAGGTAGTGAATGATCAGCCTCATTCAGTGAGCAGCTATGATTAGAAAGCCTTCTCACCGTTTCCCCAGTGGTCAGGTCCTCAGATACCCCTGCTCACCCACATGCCCAGCCTGTTACTACTGTTCCAAGCCCACCACATGCTAGCCTAGTCCATGTTAGTAAGTTTCTGTCTCAATTTCTCAACACATTCTCTCTTCTGGGACTAGAGCCCTACCATGACTGCATCTCTTTTGTGAGACCTGGACCCTTCATCACCCTCAGAAGCCAGGGTCCCGTAAACATTCTCCTTTACCACCTCAAGTCACTCGCACACACTCACTCAGCCCAGGTCTTCTTATCTGTTACATGGAGGTAACACATCTTCCTAAGGCTCTGAGAAATACATAACGTAAAGAATATAAATTACTCAGCCCAGTGCCTAACTGGAAAAGTTGAGTAAAATAGCTTTGACTATTTTTGCAAAAAGAGACAACAGAAGCATAGATCTCCTAGGCCGGGCGCAGTGGCTCACGCCTGTAATCCCAGCACTTTGGGAGGCCGAGGCGGGTGGATCACGAGGTCAGGAGATCGAAACCATCCTGGCTAACACGGTGAAACTACTAAAAATACAAAATACAAAATAGCCGGGCATAGTGACGGGCGCTTGTAGTCCCAGCTACTCGGCAGGCTGAGGCAGGAGAGTGGCGTGAACCCAGGAGGCGGAGCTTGCAGTGGGCCGAGATCGCGCCACTGCACTCCAGCCTGGGAGAAAGAGCGAGACTCTGCCTCAAAAAAAAAAAAAAAAAAAAAAAGAAGAAGAAGAAGAAGGATAGATCTTCTATTTCTCTCCCTCTCTGATGTTCTGCCTCTCTCTTAAAAGGATGCTTATGATTACATTGAGCCTACCCAGATAATCCAGGATAATCTCTCCATCTCAATATTCTTAATTTGACCACATCTGTAAAGTTGTTTTTGCAATACAAGGTAACATGCTCACAGGTTTGAGGGATTAGGATATGGACATCTTTAGGGTGGTATTATTGAGTCTATAATAAACTAAGATGAGCCTCTCTATATGAAATGCGAAGTGAGATGTGTCTTCTACTTACTTAAAGCTGTGGTTTTTTACTATGTGCATATGTCCACTAACATTTTAAACTAGTTTTTTAGGGCTCTTGAAGAATGTTTAGTTTTGAAAACAATCACTGCGCTTTGAACTTTAACCATATCAGTGAAACCCGAGCGAAAGACATTTCAAAGAGGGTTTAGATTTAAAGCAAATATCTATTCACTCTAATCTGCTTTAAAATCTGTTGTTTTCCTGGAGAGACTTAATCAGGATTCCAAACCATGAATCAAAATGAAATAAGGAATATAGTGCACATTTAAAAAGCATATTTACCATTCATCTATACCGACTAAACACTGTCAAAATATACAGAGCCTACATTTATGAATCAGTGTTTTAAATACTCTACCATAGCTGATAATTCATTTGCTAATTTAAATAATATTTGATATGATTTACAGAAAACTGGTGACCTTCAGTCCCTGCTACAAAATACAGTATGTGGATCTGTGGAGATATTTTCATTCACTCATGGTCATTAATACAAAAGGCAATGTATTTGATTAAACACTATAATTAAACTGCATAGTGGAAAGAACTGAATTAAAAAAAATTTATATACACACATAGGTATAAAATAGTTAGATCTCATTTAATGTCCTGTAGGGGAAGACATATTAGAGTCTGAACTCTAGAACCAGATCTTCTCAATGCAACTCACTAGCTCTGTGATCTTAGAAAAGTTCCTTAACTCTGTAAACTCTTTTTCCTACCCATAAGATAAGGATAATATATGTACTATATGTCATATTATTAGAGGAATTTAATGAGATTATATAATATTAAATCTATACAAGATAGATCTATATTTGGTATATAGTAAAAGTTTGAATAAATATGTTACTATTCTTACCATTTATTTTACCATTTCACATGTTAAGATTTTAAACAAACTATCTTCCTAATCTCCTTTACAGATCACTGAGAACTTGCAACACAGAAGCCAGAGTGAATGTTGCTCTAGAGTAAGTCTTATCAGGTCTCTCCTCTGGCTTACCAACTCAGCCTAAGGGAAAGCAAAAGTCCTTATAATGGCCTGCAAGCTCCCTCAGTTCTTTGATAGTTGCTGCTCCCCCCCAACTCCTCAGTCCACTCCCCATAGTGCCTTTTGTGCTGTTCTTGAGGGAATGCCATCTTTCTTCCTGCCTAAATGCATTTACCCTTGCTCTTCTTTCTGTTTGGAACATTTTAGTCCCACAAATCTGCTGGCTTCCTACCTCTTCCAAATCATGAACACTGACGCCTTCCCTGCCCATCCAGGATAAAATAGCCCTTTGCTCCTCACAACATTCTCAATTACTTTCTGGTTGATTTTTCTCCAGAGCACTTATTCCTTTTCTATCATATGTTATAAATTACCTGTTTTTCTTTTCTATTGCCTGTGTTTCCCATGCATTTATAAACTCTAAGAAATCAGAAAATTTTGTCTCTTTTCTTCATTACTGCATCTCCTTTGCCTAGAACAATGCCAAGGAGATATAAGATATTTTGGTGCCTTTGTTGAAATTGATGCTTTCATTTTCTTTCAAATGAGGGAGAGCCAGACCAGAGCCCCTCATTCACTGTAAACCCCTAATACCATCCTTTGAACAGCATGCTCCCCTCTACTGTTCTCCATTGTCAGGACCAGGTTGTTGATGGGGCTTCCTGTCTAATAATTTTTACACATTCCTGGCTCATTTACTTTACCCCTCACATTTCATGTGGCAAGAGCAAGTATGACTGGAATATATGATATAATGGGAACAGCTTCAAACTCCTTATTGCCATTTGATAAAATGTCCACCCTCTTTATAATAGTCGTCTTCCACTGTTGATGTTTTACTTTGCTAATCACACATGATTCCACTTAATGTTCATGGTAATCCTGTGAAGTACATACTATAATCCCTATTTTACAAATGAGGGAACAGAGTCTCAAGGAGTTTAAGGAAATCTGAAGATGGTGAGTAAGTCCCATGAGAAGTGACTTGGACTTAAAGATGTCTCTCTCCAAAGTCTATGTTCTCAGCATTCTGTTATACTGCCTCTTCAACTGTGGAAAATCTGACACCATTTTTAAAGTCTTGAAACCTAAAACTGCATTATTTTCTGGCATCCCCAGAGAAAAATTAGTAGTTGAAATATATATCAATGTATTTCTACTCCATACAAATTCCAATAAAGATAAATGGTTTCTTTTTATGTTTCTTAAATATGTGTGAATTCCAGATGTAGCTTTGCAACAAAACATCCTCTGTGTTGTTGTAAAAGGCAGTCATCACTTCTGCTGATAAAGGATGGTATAAGAATAATCAGGATATTCACATGAGATTTAAGTCAGACCAGAGAAGAATCTGATTTATAAAGCTGACTAAGTAATAAAGCAGACAGCCATGCTCAAAAGAAATAAACATTGAAAACAAAAGGAGAATGGAGGGAAAAAATGAGTCAATACAAATTATCTGTAGTAAGAAATAAATTAAAAATAAAAATGGAGAAAACATCCTGAGTATGAAAAAAAAAGTCTTCTGGATGAGTAATATCAGATCGCATATGTGCTCTCAGAGTTAGGGTTGAATTGCTGTCAACAGATTCTAGAGGGGCTCGTTTTCCTGACATCTCAATGTGCATATTGCATCTTCCTAAACAACAAATGCTCACACAGAAAGGACATTACCTGGAGCTCAGCCAAGGAGGTTTACCAGTTTACAGGAACACAGTCTATATTTTATTCCTGCATTTTTATTGCAATCATTATTTTAGTCTCACAAATATTTTTCAAAATTTATTCCCACCTTTTTTGTTTTTTAGCCTATCTGAAAAGCATCAGAGCTCAACTCTCCAGTTTTGCAATATGCTCTTCAGTTTAGCATATTATCTTTAACAATTATGTCTAAAAATTGCAACCTAATTGTAACAGACAAAATACCACCATGTTGAGGTGAATGTATTGCATAAATAATTCCTAATGATATTCAAGAATATTTTGTAGTTGAGGACTTATGTCATTCTATTCTTTTAAAAAAATACATTGAAAATATATCCCTAATGTTTGCCCAACCGTAGGTTCTTAAGAATCGTGATCATGTGCCTAGTTGACATATGACTTCATCACGTACTTCATATTGCTTTGGTGATTAAAAATGATTTTAAATGACTAAATTAAAATATACAAATAAAATACTTGAAAACTAGGAAAAGCTAGTAACTTTTAAGGTTACATTATATTTAAATCAAAACCCACAAAATCTAATAAAAAATACAGTTCTGTTTCCTCATTACCTAGGGTGAATAATCAGGAGGCATCAGTCTTTTGCTCTTTTCTTTAGTTGCAATTGATACAGGCACCAGTTTTGCATGTTATAGGTGTCAATATACCAATCTTATTTAACTCTAATTGCTCTATGTCACAGATCAGGGAGGGAGACATGAAGGCAAGTTTCAGCTTTGGCTAAAGTCATTAACTTCTAGTCTCTTAGAAGCAGTGCCTGCTCCAACATGTTGAAGAAACTTGGGCCCAACTATTTCTACAAAGCTCTGTTAAGAAGGCTGAAATTTTGGGTAACCCTTGGCACGTGAGAAAAACATTCAAAACTGCTGTAGACAAGGGGTGGAAATTTAACTAAATTCAACCGGAATCTGAAATTTTGCTGCACTCAATTGATTTTGTTATATTACATTTATTTTAAACAGAAACAGGAAGCCAAAACCAAACATGTGTTCATTAAAAACCCATTTTCAAGGCATGTTTATGTGCAGTGAAAATAGGCACCTCCTGAAAGACAATGAACAAATAAAAATAGTTGATCTACAAATGTGAAGCATCAGAACACTTACAAGATGATTTATTCTGATCTCCAGATACTAAAATGAAGCTTGAATTCACAAATAGCTTCAGCTGTAATGGTTCATTTACTCTCTTGACATTGGTGATATCACTACCAATAATGGTATAACTAGATTTGATTAAACTTATGTTTATTTTCATTTGAAGAGCATTTCATTATGATCATCCTAATTGCTAACTTTTGAAGTTCACTTAAGTTCTTGGCATTTATTTGTCCATTTAATCCTCATAACAAAAGCATTAAAACTTACTCCAATGGGTTACCCTGATGTCTAATGAATTTATATATGTAAAGTGCTTTGTTCCTGGCACAAAATATGAATTTAGTAAGTGCTAAACATTTGGCAAGTAGAATTATTTTCCACATTTTACAATTAGAGAGAACTTTTAAATATAGAGCTGAGCTTCCAGGGTCATGCTCTTGCCCACAGTTCTCTGTTTCATACAGTGTGGACTGTATACAGTTAGAAGTCATGTGCATACACGTCTTTAATGTCTAATTCTCTTCCTATACAGTTCTACATCATCAGTCTCATTTCTCACTACTCTCTCTAGCAATATGCTTTCCTTGCTTCAGAGTGACCTTTAAATCCCAGTGCTACTTCTTACTTCTGGACCAATTTCCAGGAAAGCATATTGTATCTTATGTCTAAATGTTTCACGTATACCTATTTTCTGAGCTTTTTCAGGTTGACTCCATCTCTTTTCAACTTCTATCTTATCTGTATATACCCTGACCTCTTAATATTCTTCATTTCTTTTCTTTGTATAGAGAAGTATGCTTAGGAATACATCTGTTATTCTCTCTTTTGGATTCTGAATTCTTAGGAAGTAGCAACTTTACCTGAAGTCTCTGTTGTTGTTCCATACAAAGTTCCAATGTATTATAAATTGTAACCTTCTAAGGACATCTACGTGAAGAAGACCGCATCTTTGCCAACATGTCCCAAAGAATGATAATAGATCATCAATGATCAAACAAAACTATAAGAAAAATTTGATTATGAAATTCAAATTTTTAACATACTAAATATTGCACTATTGTGATGTAAATTCCAAAGATTCAAACTACTGCTTTTCCTCCATTTAACAGGTCTGAAGTTCAAAAGCAAAACCTTCTATCCATTAATAAATTGTATGCTGTATGTCTAAGAACTGGAGTATACAATTACACAAAGAACCCACAATGTTCAAATAATAAATCACCTTGGTATTTAGAAAGTATTGTGCCATGAATCAAAACCGTTATTAGAATCATAAGATATTTTACTTATGTTACATCAAAGTGACTATGAAATATTACACAGGTTTTTCAGTATGAAGTTATGTAAAATTTTTCTGATATGAGATTTACACATGATACATATTAATATGACAGTCTTGTATTCTAAAAGCATTCTTACACTTGGGAGTGAGTCTGGTAAATTAAGAATGGTCCTGCATGTCTATACTGTACCAGGTATTAATGGGACAATAAACAAATGATTTATCTTATTTAGGTCTCAATTTTCTCATCTGCAAAATGGATGGATTCACACAATCCTGACTTGTTTCTAAATTCTACCAAAAATTTCTAAATATTTCATACAATTTTTAATGATTAGAAATTATTAATAATAATAATTCATTTAGTCATCATATTCTATATTAAATATCTATGGCATTCATAGTTCACTATTGAAAATCCATACTATAGTGCTACACTGCTGATGGAATTATATTATAAGCTGTGCTACTCTGAGCAGTTTTATAATTTATTCTACTTAGAATGTTTCTGTAATGAATATTGTCTTGATCATTATAGGAAAATAATTTCTCTATTAAGAAAGCTTTCAGAGAAAAACTGATAAAATATAAATATTGCACATAAATTTTCAATTGGGTGCTTTTAAAAAAATTAATTCATTAAAGTAATTATAAAAATTAAATATATTTTCAGAGAGGGAGAGGTAAGGATGGTGGTATTTTAGGGTAGTTTGTTATATTATTCGGATGTAAATATTCTTGCCAGCTTCTCCCGCTCTCCTTTGCTTCTGAACCTCTGTTTTTCTACTCTCAACTTATAAATGCAAAGAGAACTAGGGGACATATCAAAAAGCAAACACAAACATATCATCTTAGTAAATCACACCCATTTTCCAAGCATGAACATTGGCACAGTTTTTCTGAAGAGTATATTTCTTTACAGTGATCTCTGTCCACATCGGCTCTGATTATCAATAGTTGTAGAAAACATATTCAGACAGGAGAGACATTCAACACTGAAGACCAGGATGCCAGAGGCAAATAATGACTTATTAGAAATAATTCATTTTAGATAACACTAGGGATTTTTCAAGTAGATGCTCCTGGGTTCTCATGCCTGACAGCTGTGTGAGGTACAGAAATGGTAGCTACTTTCTGCAGTGGCTGTCAAAAGTAACAGCTTCTAAACTTTTTTTTTTTTCAAATGGCTTTTTGTAATGGAAAGGAAAATATCAGAGAGAATGGAAATCAGATTATTTTATGCTCCTCCCTTCCAACAACTTTAAAGTAGATTCAGAGGCTGCCTTGCTAAGAAATTTGCTAGCAACATACAAATAAATCCATTTTCAAAGTAAAATGAACAAAGATGGCATGACTATAAACACATCAGCTACCTTTCTGGATTTGTCCTTATTTATCTCATCACTCAGTTCTTTGCTTCACAAAAGCTTGATTATTCCTGTTAAGATATATTAAGGAAAACATCATTTGAAAGGAAAAGGCAGAGCAAAGATCCAAGTAGTAGAGTATAAGAAGAAAATCTCCATTTGGCTTTACTGTTTTTTTCTTATGATATTGACCTTTATTATTTACTTACAGACTTTTAAAGCTAGAAAGGAAATGACACAATTATCTAGCTCACCTCCCTATTTTAAAGTAAACAAATTTTTGTTTCATTAATGAAATGCAAAAATAATTTCTGTACTATAATACAATATTTCCTAATATGAACATACTTTGATTCTATCTCTAGTATGCTGTTTATTCCAAAGAACATCCCTTTCAGCAGAGTAACTCTTAAAATTGCACAGCAATTGAAGACTTTATTTTCAAATATATTTGCAAGTAACTGTGTCCAATTTTGAAGCCCTAGACTTAGGAACATATGTGTAATTTTTTTTAAGTTACCTGGTAACCTTAGGATAGGTTGCACCTCATCAAACTGGTTATATTATGTGCAGTTCAATGTCAGGCCTGCTGAATCAATTAGAAAAGACATAAACTGAAATATGAGCTATGTCTTGCTAGAATGAAAAATCAGATGTTATGTCTGTTTTTTAGTTTGATATGTGCCCTTGATCTTCAGCTGTCAGACCAACTTTGGATGTTATGTTTTTTATGGTTTACAAAGTATTCACAGGTGTGAGACCCCAATTTTTTTCAAAAAAGGGATTATTTCTTCACAATTCAAATAATCATATATAAAATACCTTGTCTATAAACTACATCTTACTGTTACCACTGAGATATGACATCATGAGTAAAATAGAAATCTAGTCTTACGGTTCTATGTTTTTAAAATGTACCTAAACACACACATATATATTTACTTATTATATACTTATATATATCCACCAACACTTGAATGTGTATCAATTATAAGTCACAGAACTAAAAATCATACAGTATGTGTAATTTTTTATTTGTATTCAAAATCTGTAAACTGAACACAAAGTTTGACAACTTATGGGGTTACAAACCACAAACAGGCATAAAAACATGACCAGAAATTATGGTTTTTTCTCTTTTTATTCTGAAATTAATTCTGTGAAATTTATTCACAATATCAAGGTAAAGTTTGGAGAGATAAGGAATCAGGAACTACTAACATCTGTGACCATTATCTCTACAATATGGGAAAAAAATCTTTAATAGAAATCTATGAAAAAATAACATTGTCAATATTATAACAATTAGGAAGGAAAGAATAGGGAGAAGAAAGAATAGGGAGAAGAAAGATTAGCCAAGCTAATTATGTGTTTAAGTAGATTTTTATCTTGTACTTTATTCCACTATATTTATTTAAGGGTGCCCAGGAATATGTTTTAATTAATTTGTAATATTGTTTCTCAATAAAAAAATCTTCAAACTTTTCACTAAAACATATTATTCACTAAAATCTGCATTGCTCCAAAGAAAATTTTTAGAAAATTGCATTCTATTCAGTGGGCATAATTAGACCCATAAGGCTTCCAAGAACTTTTTAGAAAGTCCCCTTAAATCTTTGCAAATTTTTAAAATAAGAATTCCTGCCATGCACAGATTATTAGGTCAATATTTATATTAAAATAGAGAGAAACAGAATTGTAAAACATGAAATAATTATGTTTGGCTATAATAGTTAACATTCTCCAAAGTGTTTTAATATATTCAAACTTATTTAGTTGAAACAACTCTATATCATAGGTACTTAGTTATTATTACATGGCCCAAGCTTCATCTGTATATCAATTTATCTCCCTGATGATTTCATCCTACCATTGTACCCTTCCCATGGCAACAACAACAATAACCAAAAAACCATCTGAGCTCAACCTGGTAGGCAGGTCATAAGGAATCCATCTCATATGCATCTGTATTTCAAATCCCAGTTGAAGTATTAACAATCTAACATTAAACCCTATTTTAAATATCTGAACACCAGTATGTCCGGTTACAGGGAAAGCCCATTCACTGTTGGTAGAGAGATGATATTGTCTTGGTCTTTGTTTGTGTTTGTTAAAATGCCTCAAAAAATAGGAATATTTTATATGCATTTTATATATATAGCATACCTCTGTATGTATCTGTACATGTGATAACTATTTAAATTACAAGTTCAAAAGTGCAAAATAAGCAGCACCAGAAATCAATGTGATGAAGAATATCTTATTTCTGGACTCAGAAAAATGTCTTTGTGACTTTGGTATACTACCCATCATTTGACAGAGTGAAGAAATACAGATTTTATCTGAGGCCTTCAGGTGCTGGCTTCATTTAAAATTACAAGCACCATCAGCTCATTCAAGTGTTTTGATAATAAAATTGTCAGTAGTCCAAAAGTGATTTCAAGATTTAATTATTCATCACGTGATTAAAAATAAAATTAATATTAACATGCAAATGTGTAGTTTTCTTAACAATATTGGCCAATATTATTTTAAAGAACATCTCTGAATGTTTTCACGTAAGAAAAGAGACTGTCCCAGAAATCCTGGACCCAGTTATCCTGAAGTTTCCTCTGATTCATCAAGTATTTAAGTTTCCAGGCCAACAGAAGCCTGAGGCTCAAATATTTGTAGCAAATCGGTGACTCAGGGCAACACAGCAGAACCCTGAGAAACAATGAAGAAGGAATTGTTTATAATCTTGTGCTCAGTTACACAAAAGATACACATTTATTTTCACCACCACCCACCAAAGACCCCAGAGGATCCAGAGGCTATAATAATAGAATATGTTACCAAAGGAAATACAAGATGACCCATTAAATTTGAATTTCAGATACTCAAACAAAAAAATTTAAAGTATGCTACAGGCACTATTTGGAGTATACTTATACTAAAAAAAATGTTGTTTATCTGAAATTCAAATTTAAATGGGCAATTTTTATTTTTGTTTTTGTTTTGTTATTTTGATAAATCTAGGAACATCTTTACCTCCACATACAATTCAAGGCTGATCAGTGAGGGAAGGATAAGAGTTTTAGACAAGAGGCTAGGCATGGTGGCTCATGCCTGTAGTCCCAGCACTTTGGGAGGCTGAGGTGGGAAAATTGCTTAAGACCAGGAGTTTCAGACAAGCATGGGGAATATAGCAAGACACCATCTCTACAAAAAAACAAATTAGCTGGTTATGATGGCAAATGCCTGTAGTTCCAGCTACTTGGGAGGCTGAAGCAGGAAGACTGCTTGAGCCCAGGAGGTTGAGGCTGCAGTGAGCCATGATTGCACCACTGTACTGCAGCCTAGGTGACAGAGCAAGACTCCATCTTAAAAAAAAAAAAAAAAAAAAAAAAAGGAGTTTTAGATAAAAAATGAAACTGAAATTCTAAACTAATCTAGGCCAGACTGGACTTTTTTCAATACAAAAGTGACAGGAAAGTTTTAAGTCTCCCATAAATCTCATTAAAGGGTGACAAGGAGAAAAAAAGTAAAAGAGTTTCATGTTTTTATGCCCCTCCAATTTCAGATTTTCTCAATAAGACAATTAAATATCCAGAGCTTGATAATTGAGTTCAACTCTGCATTGTTATTAATCCTATCTTAGTCCGTACAGAGTCATCATTACCATCCCTAGAAATAGATGCAATGAGCATTTCAGAATAATAGTTGTGACATTCTTTGAGGACAAATGCAAAAGTTTTGATGTGGATTCTCAGACATCAGTGCAGGTTTGGGAAATACCGACAGCTGAGATGGTGCTGAAAATGAGAACTCTCCAGCCTCTCCTTTAAAGCCTCTGTGACAGACATAAAAGTGCTTGGCTGGATGTTTAAAGTGGGAATCTCATGAATGCATTCTTGATAAAGCTTGCTGAAGATGGTGATTCCTCTGCAGTTTCCAGGGAGCTCTTGTGAGAGAGGGATGTCTAGAAAGTGACATTTAAACACAAACTCAGAAACTGATTTTTCTTTAAAAAATTGAGCCTCTACCTATAGAAATAAGGAGAAAAAAATGTATAAAAGTGGCCGAAGTCTTACATTCTGACATCCCTCCCTAAAGTGTTTGGGCATGCCATAAAAGAAGCAGGCTCATCTAATAGAATGGGCAGAACAATGTATGCTATCCAGCTACTTGGGGAAACTCAGAAGGCACAAAAATACAGGGAATTCTGGACCTGTCCCAGGGAGACACTTTTCAGCCTTGATTAGAATAGGTCATTGAGATGCTTAGAAGACTGATAGCTGATATGAAAAAGAAAGCACCTTTTCCTCTCTGTCCTAGGGACTGCAATGTGCCAAAAATGCCTCTACATGAAAAGATATAAGAAATATCATGAGAGAGCTGTAGGAATAAAATGTTTAAAGATATATCAGAAGGAAAGGAAAATAAATTCTCCACATATATGTCATGGTTATAAACTTTGCTCTAAAACGATGTCCAAAAAGCGATTAAAGATAGCAGAAATGGTAACCAGGTTCAACTGACAAAAGTTGTTGTTGAGGCCATAGTTAACATCTTTGAAGGCAGGCACAAGCTGCAGGAATAACAAAGGAAGCCTACTGTTATAAACTAAATGTCTGTGCTATGGTTTGAATATATCTTCCAAAAGTGTGTTGGAAACTTAATCCCCAATGCAACAATGAGGTGAGGCCTACTGAGAGGTAATTAGGCCATAACGGTGGTGTCCTCATGAATGAATTAATGTTGTTATTGCAAGAGTGGATATGTTATAAAAAGGGGATTTTGGTCCCCTTCTCTCTCTCTCTCATTCTCTCTCATCCTTTCTTACCTTCTCACCATCTACCATGACATGATGCAGCAAGAAGGCCTTTTCAAGATTCTAGCCTCTTGATCTGGGACTTCTCAACCTTTGGAACTGTGAGCCAATACATTTCTGTTCATTATAAATGTATTCTGTTCTAGCAGCACAAAATGGACTAATACAGTTTGTGTCTCCCCAAAATTCATATGTTGAAGTCTTAATGTCCAATGTAATGGCATTAAAAGCTGAGGCCTTTGGGAGGTAATCAGAATTAGATGAGGTCATGAGGATGGAGCACTGTGATATTAGTGTCCTCATAAGAAGAGAAAGAGACACCAAAGTTTCCTGTTTTAATTGCATGAGGACATAGTAAGAAGGCAGCCATCTGCAAGCCAGGAAGAGGGCCCTATACAAGGACCAAATCTGCCAGCACCTTGATCTTGGACTTTCTAGCCTACAGAACTATGAGAAAAAAATGTCTGTTGTTTAAGCCACCCTGTCTGTAGTATTTTGTTAGGGAAGCACAAGCTGATTAAGACATCTACCATTCTCCTAAAGCTAATGAAGTTGATTTTGGAAAAGAAGGATAGAGAGGTCAAAGTCACTGAAGAGAGAAAGAGAGAAAAGACCAAACTATGTACAATCACGAAGATCCCTGCCAGGGCTTTAAGGGAACAGATGATGACTTCTTGGAACATTGTTCATGTGATGACTTCAGAGGCTTGGGAGTAAATCAGACAGACTGACCCTGTTTCCTTGAATGAGTGCTTAAGTATTCGATACCAACTTGGTAGGTCTTCTGCTCATGAACTGATAGGATTCTACCAGAAAGTTAAAAATATACAGAAAGCCCAACTTGTGGCAGGCAAAGAGATAAACTCAGCTGCATAAGATGCTTAAAGAAGCCCCCTCTGAGAATGCAGCATTTAAGATGAGAAGGAGCCAGCCTTGAACAGCGGAAGGCAGAAGAGAAGAGCAGTCCAGACTGACGGGACAGTGCATGCGATCATTTCAAGGTGAAAAAAATCATGGCATGTCTGAAGTACCGAACAGAAGTCAGTTTAACTAGAGTATAGTGAGAGAGCAAGTCACTCAAAAGAATTTAAAGAGGTAAGTTGTAAGTTGAACAGGAAAATAAATGAGTGAATAAATAAATGATTACTCTGAAGAATGATTGCATTCCACTTATTAGACAGAGTTGTGAAGGAGGGATTCTCTAGGTACACAGTGAGTCATGGCAATTTTATAGAGGAAAGAAAGCAAAATGAATTTCTAAGACCTACAGAAAGAATAGCATTTGAAATCTTGGGGGAAAACAACATGTATGTCAGTGGACATGGAGCTCTGTGGTCCAAAGGCCCAGGAAGTAACAAATGGTAAGAAAGACACACTTTTCTTGATGTGCCAAGAAAACTGATGGAGCAGAGATTCCTCTCCCATGACCCCACATTTGAAAAGTACCAGTGCAAAGAAAAGCTCCAGTGCAAAAGCTTGTTGCTTTCCATGAAATTGCAAGATCATCCCTCAAAACAGGTGTTAAGTGGTATCCTGTGTACTTATAATTTTCTTAGTTAGCAAAGAATAGCTTGTAAAACTCATTTTTGAGAAAATGGTGGTTACTCTCATTGATAATTATTAAATATGATATAGTTAATAGTGAGAAGAACTATCTAGATAACTATAACTGTCAATTTCTTGATGCTAAGTAGAATTTAGCCTTCAAGAATGGAGGTTTTTAAATTATTAAAGTTTGGAGCTAGAAAGTAACTTGAAGCAAACGTCATTCTCTCTCTATTTTGCAAATTAGGAAAGTGAAACAAAGATGCATTAATTTAAGAATAGCAATAATGCATTTAATATCGACTAGTTTCGTGTACACTTCCCATTGTTCTTCTTTTGTCCCCAAAGTTAGCATAAACAAGATTTCTAAGAACTCTGGAGAGTGTAAGTGGTATATAAGCACAATATTTTCATTACTAAATTAAATAAATAGAATGGAATGAAGGTTTTTATCTATTTATTTCTGGCAAGAGAGAAATTTGGGGGACTTGACATTTCCTTCTTTGCACGTACACAGTCGTTTTTAGAAATGATGACCTCTAAATCATGCTTGTGTTGTTGCCTAAGGAGCCATGCCTTAGCTAACTCAATAATCTTGCTGCAAAAGTAACCAGTGATCAGATGAGAAGATAAACAATACACTGGTCTCAGAGACATGAGTCTGAGATAGGTTACTAGTCTAGGACCCAAGTAAATTAGCAGGCAAGGATAATATCATCTGCAATTTAACATGTGAAAAATTCAAGTTAGTGTAAATTGTATTATATTCTATGCATAGAAGATAAATCTCACAAGTAAACCCTCGCTATTAGAAATAAGTAAGATTTACAAGTAAATTGACAAGAAGTTCCTCAGGATCATCACTTATTAGTTTGGCTATACGGAAGACATAGAAACCACCCAGTTGCCAAGTACACTGACTTGAATCAAGTGGCTTAGAGAGTAATTTACAAATTTGAATGGCATTATATGAGATATGAATATGCCACAATTCCAAAAACTAATACACGTTCCCATCCCATTCAATTGGATATTATCATTGAATGATCATTTTCTCCGTTCAATAACCACGATCTGTTTACTAATTAAATAATAATTATAGAAAGAAGTCAATATAACAATACATTACAAAATTATCTACTAATTTTTGATGTATAATAATAATACATTACAGACTGTAATAATAATATTTAACGCTTTATCATGTTGGATAAATGCAGGAATCATTGTAAGTGCTTTTAATTAATTATTTGATTTATCACCCAAGCAAACCTTGAAGTAAAAACATTTATTATCGCCATTTCACAAATGAAGAAAGTGAAGTCTAAATAAGTTAAATTACATGCTTGAGGTCACAAAAACTAGTGAGTTGCAGGTGTAAGATTTGAATCCAGAAAATATGATCCAGAGCCCAACTTCTTAATTGTTATTCTACAGTACCTCAAAGTATACAGATAAATGGAAAAACAGCCTTTTCCAAAACATTGTCAACGTTTACTTTAATAGTTTTTAATATCAATCTATTAGTGTTTCCTTGTTATTAAACATCTGTGTGTTATAAATTTATAATATAAAATTCTGCCTCATTTATAGACATTACTGTTACAAAAATACAGATTCTGATTTCAGTAAAAGCATATCAGGTAACTTGTATTAACTCTTAAGAAGAGCCAGAAAATTTGGGGCTAAACAATTTTTCTTTTAATCTGTTGAAGATCTCAAAGAGCTAGCAAAGCAGTCATGAATTTTAGGGCAAAGATCTAGAGGAGAAGGAGAAAACCTAGAGTGGCTAAGACAGTTATACGTTTGACCAACATTATATGAGAGATTTTGGATTCACAGCAATCGCATCATTCTGAAGCACTTACATCATTCTATCCTGTGCAGTTGAATAGAATGTGAGGGGTGAGCCTGGCATTTAGATCCTCTTTTCTCCCAGTGGAATCCACCTAAAAATGAAATAAATGTATTTAAATGATCTAAGATTGCTAGAATTTTTATCTGCCTACTAGATGCCAAGGCAAATCTTCTCTGAATAAAGATAATTGTATCTTAAGCCTCAAACTATTTCTACTAATCTTAAAAGCTAATATACAACACTCAATTACAGAGAAATAAACACATGAAGTGATAAATTCACTTGATCACTTTTGATAAATTAACAAAATAAGCAATAAATAGCAGAAACAGATCCTCAGTGAATCCAGATAAGAAAAAGAGAATTCAAAAGAAATATGCTGCCTAAGCTCAAAAAAAAAAAAAAAAAAAAATGACAGGATTAAGAATTTTGTCAGAAAACTAGACACTACAAAAAAATTTAGGAATTCTAACTAAAAGGTATACTAGTCAAAAAAGAAAACTCAATGGATAGATTCAACAGCAAATTAGACACGACTAAAGAACAAATTGGTAAACTAGAAGATAAGTGAGAAGAAAATAAGCAACCTAAAGCATGGAGGGACAAATGAATAAAACATATAGAAAAGAGTATAGAAGACATACAGGATATAGTAAAGAGGTAAAAGGGTCTATTATATGTGTAATTGGAGAAAAGGGAGATAACAGGGCAGAAGTAATACTTGAAGAGATAATGGCCTAGAATTTTCACTGATTGTTTCAGTCATATATTGGGATACTATAAAACAGTGAAAATGAATGGCCTCCGGGTACATCAGAACAACGTGGGTTAATCTCCTACATGTAATATTGAGGCAAGGAAGCCAAACACAAAGAGTACTATATGATTATGTTAACATAAAATGCAAACACAGACAAAATTATATTGCAATTTGAGAAGTCAGAACAGTGGTTATATCTTGGACAGAGGGAAGGAATACTGATTTGGTGGATCATGAGGCAGTCTTCAGAGTGTTGATAATGATCTATTTCTTAGTCTCAGCACTGGATACCTAGGCATATTTACTTTGTAATAATTCACATATTTTTTGTTTACTTTATTGTATATATGTTATATTTTACATAAAAGTTTAAAAACAAAATGAAAATAATTATTATGTGTTAGTGGGAGAAAAATTATTAATTCAAGAAACAAAAAAATTTTTTCATTCTTAAATCAACAATTACATTTTAAGATTCATATTTGAAATATTTGATTATTGGCTGGGCGTGGTGGTTCACACCTGTAATGCCAGCACTTTGGGAGGCCGAGGCAGGTGGATCACCTGAGGTCAGGAGTTTGAAATCAGCCTGGCTAACTAACATGGTGAAATACAGATACCCCATCTCTACTAAAAATACAAAATTAGCCAGGTGTGGTGGCGCATGCCTGTAATCCCAGCTACTTAGGAGACTGAGGCAGGAGAATCGCTTGAACCTGGGAGGTGGAGGTTGCAGTCAGCCAAGATCACACCATTGCACTCCAGCCTGGGCAACAAGAGCAAAATTTCATCTCAAAAAATAAAATAGAGAAATATTTAATTATTAATAAGACTGGATTTTTCTAATTTTCTAGTCTTTCTATAATTTCTATAATTTAGGACTTTCATGATTTTATAAAATGGTCTAAAACACCTTACTTTAGAAAAAAGAAACTATGATGGTGCATATACAATTTATCTTCTGCTTTCCATTTTTTCTGATTTCCAAAATAGTCAGATAGAATATGTGAATAATAAAAGCTACATGTGAATGTCTTCACTTTTTCAGAATCATGACCCTCTTTTAAATGGTAATACATGCAGGAAAATACTTCTAGTCACAATATTTACTCTAGTTTGGATATAAGGCAGCAAGTAACAAGAGGTGTTCATGTTAAACTATCTGATTAACTCGAATCCTGATTGCTTGCTTGATATAGTATCATTGTTGGGTAATAATCTTTGTGATGATATCTGTGACCTTAAATCATATTTTAATGAGGCTTGAAGAAAGTATGTGCAGTCACAAAGAGTTGAAACTATTTGATAATTTTCACAAGAAAACATCAGCATGCCAAATATAAGTAAATGCATAAAATTATCTTCACATTATTGGGTGTGAATGCTAAAATCGAGAGGTCATTTCACTGTTTAACAAACTCTTGGGAACAGGATACTTAATCATTTATAATTGAAACTGTAAATAACTGTTGATTATGTAAGACATGAATTACTCTGACACTTGCCGAGAGAGGTCTGAAAAGGCGTTTCTTCAATCAAGTGTATGAAAAACAATACCTATCATCCTCAATAATAAATTAATGTTGAAAATGCCAAGAGAAAAGTTATAAGAATCTATATATCTCTGCATTCTTTAAAAATTTACTTTTTAGAGGCAAATCGATCCTCAAAAGAATTCGGAGAAACAAACAAATTCCACTTTATAAATCACTCATAGGTAGGATACCACCCATAATAATAAGAGACTTATAGAGGTCACTCCTTTGTTTAAAACAAAAGTTTATCCACATGCTATTGTTTCTCTACACATTTTACTGGGAGAATTGGAGGGATAGTTTCTAT
Source organism: Homo sapiens (assembly GCF_000001405.40). NCBI lineage: Eukaryota > Metazoa > Chordata > Mammalia > Primates > Hominidae > Homo > Homo sapiens. Next base: position 138,284,331 of record NC_000004.12, read on the forward strand.
TCTCTGTACCATTTCTCTGGTTATACATGTACCAAATTATTTTTGAAAAATCAAATTTATTTGTAATTGGTTTCATAGAATGATAGTGTTTTCCTTATATCCTTAGCATTTTTGATTAGCCTCCACAGTTCTTTGAGTCACAAAAATTTCTTGTTCGTGCTTGGTAACTAAATTATCATATTTGTTTTGACAATTTGAAAATATCTGTTTTAAAATAATGATGGATAAATACACCAAAAATGTAACTTTTATGTAATCTTATTCTTTTAAAGAAAGATAACTTGCAAGAAAATAAAATTTAAATGTACACCACTATAAGTTTTTTCATATAAATAAATCAGTGAATGAGCAAGTGCTTAGACAGCCAGTTGAACCTCTGTCAATGGGTTTATCACATCATATTAAAATTGTTTATTTCTTTATTCTTCTAGTGCATGTAAGCACTCCATATGTAGGAGCAATATCTTATTTAAATCCCCAGGACCTTATACAATATGGTGCTCAGTAACAATTCTTGAATGAAACTGAGCCATAAAAAGTAGTCTTATTCCTAGAATGCCTCAAGGTTGAGGCAATATCTGCTGGATGTGTTTTTACTTAAAATGAAGATTGAAGAGATGTAGAATGGTAATAGATAAGGCTATTGGGACATGTACACAAACAAATCTTTACTACATTCAGGCATAGACTATTACTAGACAGGATAAACATTATAGAGTTTCTATGAAAAACATTTTTATATTTTAAGGAAATATAAAAACTAAAGTGGAATTAAAAAGGAGGATCTGTCTGTAGTGTTTGGTACACGTGGGTATTGACTAAACAGGAAAGAGACCACGATAGGGAGTAGCGGAGGAACAGGACTTCAAGGTAAGTGTAAGTGGTCTGTCTACAGAAGTAGGAACCAGAGAAGAAAAAATGACTGAGTAATCATGAGTTTAGAGTGAAATGTCATCAGAATTCGTGAGAGTAATAAACCAAGGGAAAATTTCCTTAGTCAAGGCATAATCTAGGAAAGGCATGTTGAGTTACTATTGCTGAGTGATGGTTATGGCACTTTAGGAGGTGCTCCTAGACCTTAAAAGAATTCCCTTTTGGACATTCCATTGAGAGCTCAGTGGCTTATTTCTGCCCTAAACCCCTTTCATCCTCACCTCTTCCATCTGTAGTTGTCCCAACATTCACAGATCTCTCTGCTATTTTACTTTCAAGTATTAGTGTCATGGTTTTCCACCTAAAGTTGGACTCACATAAGAATATCTTTTCTTAGGATCAATTTCCAAGTATGTGCATCAAGCATTTGACTTATCCTGTAGGTCTGGGTAGACTCTAATTTAATCTGTTCTTCCACTTACAATCCCTGGTTAAAGCTCCAAGTGAGGTTTTGGCTACACAAGCTGATGCTAAAAAAGTGCATTGAGTCTAAAAGCACCATTGTCAAGTGAGACTGGAAATTCTCATTCTACACATGCCCAATAATCTGTCTTTTGGGTAATTTCTTCCCAACCCACACTCTTTTCTCCATCAGCTCTGTGCCTATCCTACTCATAACATGCATATACATAATTGCATTTACCGTACATTTTGATTTGATTTTAAAAAGTAGTAGTGTTTTGTTTGCTTCAGGTATATCCTTATTCTTTTACTCTTATATGAATAAATGTCACTAGATTTTAATAAATCAAATATCAAAAAACTTTAGTACTCACCCATAGTCTGTGATAAAATATATTTTGTGGAATGTTTCATCCTTTAAGAAATAGTTTCTCATAAAACTAATATTTCTATCTGCATCTGTGAAAATAATCAAATTTTTCAGACTATTAAACTGTGAAACAAAATGTAATTATTTGATGTTCAGCTCCTATTTTCTTAAAAACATATTATAATAAAAGAAATATTAATGCAAGCAAGAGCAAGAATGAGCCAAGATTTAATACATATTATCACCTAATTTTAAAGTATTTATTGAGTATTTGTTATATATTTAGCATGATGCTAGGCATTATGGAGTCGTGTACGTTTGAATCCTCCTAATGTGTATGGTTACAGATGTTTGGTAGATTATAAATTTATAGAAATAACTATAGTAAAGGTAGGACAATAAAGAGATGAGGACAGTTACTCATAAAACACAAAGACTTTCTTGATGACAAACAGGCATGAACATAGACAGCCTATTTAAAAATAAATAAAAATGGCCGAGTGCAGTAGCTCACGCTTGTAATTCCAGCACTTTGGAAGGCCAAGGCAGGAGGATACCTTGAGCCCAGAAGTTCAAGACCAACACCTGGGCAACAAAGGGAGACCTCGTCTCTACAAACAATTTTAAAAAAAATTATCTAGGTGTAGTGGTACATACCTGTAGTCCCAGCTACTCAGAAGGCTGAGGAGGGAAGATCACTTGAGTCCAGAAGATAGACAGCAATGTACTCTGTTTGTGCCACTGCGCTCCAGCGGGGGCGACAGAGCAAAACCCTGCCTCAAAAATTAATTAATTAATTAATTAATTAATTAATTAAATTAAAATAAAGCAGCTGGTTAAGATAAAACAATTTAACCCCACTTGGAATCAACCAAATGGAAAATATGTTTAAATACACTATTTTTTAAATTGGCCAAAATTTTAAATTATGTCGTCCAATGGTATGATACAAAGCTATGCTGCAGAGCTGTGCTGATAAATGCTTAAGGACTTGCTCTCTGGAGGGAAGTAAAATAACACCTCCTATTTGTAGCATTTGCTGATTTCTGTTGTGTAAATACTCTCACCGTGGCTGATTGCAAGCTACCAAATACACGTCACTAAACACTCGATTGTGAAGCCATGCTTACGATAGGCTTTCCTGAGCCATGTCCACAAATTTGTATACTGAGCAGTTGAGACAGAGAACGTATGATCCACAAAGCCTATAATATGTACTATCTGACCCCTTACAGAAAAAGTTTGGCAACACTTGATCTAGAAAAGAAAGTTCAAAATTTAAATATTCCATGTTTTTTAAAAAAGTTCTGTGAAATTAGATCTATCTAATCATTAGAAAATGTCTTCTGAAAAGCCAAAATGTCTGACTTTACTTCTCTAATTTCCCCAGTCCTTTGTGTGAATGTGTGTGTGTGTGTGCACATGTGTGCTTAGTGGTAAATCCACTTAAAAAGTCAAGTCCATGTACTGTTACATCAGAATTGGAAGATAGATATAAAATGCTCTAAATAAAATAGAGATTAATTGCAAATTCAAATGCATTAACATTATGTGAATGGCCAATTCAATAACTGATTATGTGAAAAATTAATTGCCTGCTTAAGTGGACAATCACACAAAACCACATATCCTGTCTCAGCCCACACAGGTGTTCCATGTCTCCCAGACTTCTCAAATGATTTGGCATTCATATGCCATGGCTAAAAAAGCCAGATGCATATTTTTAACATTCAATTATCTATTCATTCTATAAACATAATAAATGACAATTTTGTATTGGGAACTATATTAGTATTTAGGAATATAGTAAAGAAAGATAGTCCTTGACCTCAAAAAGAATGTCTCTCCCCCACTCCCTCCCCGACCATTGTTATATGTTGTAGGACGCATTCCAAAAAGTACACATTCCTAGGGCAATTAGTTTATGTCTCTGTAATGAAATGGGCAAAGAAATAAAAATGGCTACTGTTACAATTGATACTGAGAAAATGTGGTTTGGCTTGTAAAAATATTTATCAGAGTCTATTGCTTGTACCCAGAATTGCTCCCAGGATGGTGTGGAAAAAAGAGGTTGAAATTGAAAGGAGCAAATTTATTCTGCACAACTAAGTATATTTAACTTTGGATTCTACCTGGTGACTTGGGAAGTTATTTCTAAAACTTGGGAAATGGAGATGGAAGTGGATTTTGGTTAGTGTGACGATGAACTCTGGCAGTATGTTGGGGGGTCTGGAACCAAAAGAAATACATCATGAGTGAGTAATTTCCATATGCAGTCTGACCTAAGTGAGGAATTTCAAAATAACTTGGTACCCAAGTGTAGTTGGTGTCCACACTATAATGAACCTCCATTGTCTCTAAAGCCTGCTACCCAACACAATAGCCTCATATTTGTGCTTCTTTCGGAAAAGGAGACATGTCCACACTTGGGATAAAGCCCTGAGAACCAGGAAGAGACAGGCAGCAGTGGTGATAAGTGATCCAGGACTGACTGCGGAGTGAAAAATGCGCGTACTAGGTGATTGTAAGCACCACCAGGCAGGAATCATCATAAACACCAGAAATGGCACTGGACTCCTCAGATTGTGTGAGATGGAGACTTGAATTATTTTATTGGACATAAAAGAATACTTGGAGACTTGGAAACTTTCAGCTTATTATCATAAACCTGATTTTTGTTTTACATTATGCTTACTTACATCACATCAATCTCCTTCAGTGGGATACAAGCACATGTCATATTTATCTTTATATTCCTCCTGTACCAAGCTTAGTGCATTATAGAGTAGGGGCTCATTAAATTAAGCAGAAAAAGAATTTCAAAATCAGAAAGAAGAGATGATCTTAGCTTCACCATAGAAGCAATATAGAATTGACTGAGGGCTAAACTACTTTTGTCTAGTTGGGTGTCCCCAGCTAAAATAGTGACTCTAGAGTTAAGACTGGAGAAGTTTGGGAAGTGTGAATGTTGGAGAGGAGAAGTTAGATAGGACTTTTCTGTAGCAAAACCTCAAGCTAGGAAAACAAATGTTTTTAAGAGGAGAATATATTTGCCTGTTAGGTAAAGAGAAAAAAGGTGTCCCTAATGTAAATTTGATTTATTCTGTGGATCACACACAATATGGGCCAGAAATTTCTAAACATAGCAATACAATAAAAATCACTAAAAACAGATTTTTTTTAGGTTTATTAAAAGCATATGCCCATGTTCAACCTCATGGGATTCTGATATCCTTGGTCTGGGTGAAAGACTAATATCTATACTTTTACTGTATTTCCCACAACCCGTTAAAATTCTAGAGGAAATTTCCTACTCCTATTGGTCTTTCTAACTTGAGGTCTGGCATGTTTACTGAATTAATTAACAATGTGCTCACCATGCAAAATTGCTCTCTTGCCTTCATAAATTAGAAATTTGTCAATAAAAGTATTTTAATGCAACCTATTTCTCACTTTGTTTTGCTTTAAATGAATTCTCATAATACCAGATACTATATATATCAAATACACTTCTCATTCTGCTCAATAAGTAGAAAACTTAGAGAATGGCTAAAATAAGGCTCTAGGCTAGGAAAAAGACATAGCAAAAAAAAAAAAAAAAAAAGAAAAAGAAAAAAGAGTACTGAATAAACACGTTTTTATTATGTTATCAATGGCCAAGATGATATTGAAAGCACATGTAACAGTAAATATTATTTTCATGCTTCAGATTTCCAATCTACAGTCATGTTCTTGCACTTACTTTGAATACTATGGTAGATGGATGGATGGATGACAGATAGATAGATAGATATAGATAGATAGACATACAGATTCATAGATGAGACATAGATAATAGTTCAATAATATGTAGATGTATAAACATAGAGAGGTGGCTGGAGATAAAGATGGAGTTTTTTCTTAAAGTGAGAAATCTTGGAATTTAAGAAATGCCACACAAAAATACAAAAGAGAAAGGGAAATAAAGATTTCTTTCAATGTAAATTTTTCATTTGCTGTTTTACCTTAAAAATAATAATGTCAATTTCTGTCACATCGTCATGTGATTATATAATGAAGTTGGTTTCAGTATTGTCATTCATCTGTCCTAATTTCAGGTATCAGATGTATTAAGCAGTTCCAACTGAGAGTGTAACAATACCTTTTTAAAACCGTATTATAGATTCAGTGGGTACATGTGCAGATTTGTTGCATGGGTAGGGTTTGGGCTTCTAGTGAGGCCATCACCCAGATAGTGAACCTAGTACACAATAGGTAGTTTTTCAACTATCATCCCCCTATTTCAATTCACTCCCCCTTTTGGAGTTCCCATTGACTATTATTTCCATCTTTATGACCATGTGTACCCACTATTTAGCTTCCACTTATAAGTGAGAACATGTGGTATTTGATTTTCTGTGTTATTTCACTTAGGATAATGGCCTCCAGTCCAGCCATGTTATTGCAAAGGACATGATTTCATTCTTTTTTAAGTACTCCGTGGTGTATATGTACCACATTTTCTTTATCCAATCCACCATTGATGGGTGCATAGGTTGACTCCATAACTTTGCTATTGTGAATAGTGCTTTGATAAACATATGAGTGTAAGTGTCTTTTAGATAACAAAAAATCATTTTCTTTTAGGTGGATGTCTAGCAGTCAGATTGCTGGGTCAAATGGTAGTTCTGTTTTTAGTTCTTTGAGAAATCACTCAAAGAACTGTTTTCCAAAGGGGTTGAACTATTTTACATTCCTACCAACAGTGTATAAGCGTTCCCTTTTCTAGTCATTGTTGTCAATGTCTTTATTTTTTGACTTTTTAATAATAGCCATTCTGATTGGTGTGAAATGGTATTTCATTGTGGTTTTAACTTGCATTTCCCTAATGATTAGTGATGTTGAGCTGTTTTTCATTTTGTTGGCAACCTGTATGCCTTCTTTTGAGAAGTGTTTGTTCATGTCCTTTGCCCACTTTTTAACAGTTATTTGTTTTTTTCTTGTTGCTTGGTAACAGTACACTTTCAAAGACAGTTAAGAAGACATAAAAATTGTTGCAAAGCTCCTTTTCTTATAGTAGGCAGCATAGAAGTTTGGAGTCCACTCGCTACCTACAAATGTTGTGACTTAAGGGTGCCGATTATTTGAAACTATTAAGAGGGAGAAAAAATCTATCCCTCCCCCTTCTCCCATTGAAAGAGCACAATCCTAGGATAGGTGTGCTGACACTATCCCAAAGCTTTCAAAATTGCTCATATATCATCACCTGGTTTCCTTATTACACATTGTACACTCTTAGTTTTCATACACACACACACACACACACACACACACACACTTCTGGTTCTGGAAAAAGAATGTATTTCATAACTGTAGTTTGCTTTCCATGAAAACCACTATAAAATCAAAGGTATATTTTGCAAATGAGGGCATATTAAACTTGAGAACATATTGCATTTATGCCCCCAAATTTTAGTTTATGCTGTAAGCTTAGATCTAGAGAGAAAGGAAGTTCCGTGGAAGTCAAGAAAAGAACTAGGGGAAAGAGTGAGATCGAGATTATGTCTACTGTGCACTTACACCAGGTGCCATTAATTTAGCAAGTTATTAGGCAATCCAAAGGTCACAGCTGTTCCATTACTTCTTGCAGTTCCCATACAGTCAAAAGGATACTGCCCTGTCCTTGCTAGATTAATGAAAACCGACTAAGATCAGAAAAGTAATAAGTTGAAAGAAGATAATTCAGACAGTTCTAAAAGTTACCAGTAGGCCCTGTATTGCCATTTTCCCAGAGAAAGAGGATAACTACTTTCTAGGGGTGCTGGAGCCTGCTCTTGTGGACTCACTAGAGCCTATTAATAAATGTTCAGGAATTTTGTGAGCCAGGTATTACATTGTTGGTCATTTGTAATTGGCCATAGTGGGAGTATGCACAAAACAGAAAGCAGAGAATGCTACAAATCAGGGCCTTTCATTCCCCCTGAGGGCCTATATATTTACCCAGCACATACAAAAATATATCATGGTAGAATGTTTACATTTTTGAAAGATGTAAAAATAACTATTTTGTTGAAAAATGTTTACTTTTAGGCAACTGTTTCTCTTTGTCAAAATTCATAAACCTATGTCTTCATTTTTAGAAATGATCTAGAAAACACTTGCAACTCTATTAATGAGAAAGTATTAATTATCTTTAAAGTAATATTTGGGATTAAAAAATAAATTGACCTAATTTTAACCTAGCCCAATCAACCCAATGTCATTTGAAAATATTTGCTTTTCAGTATTTCCAGGGACACAGAGAGTGTTCTTTCCCTAAACCAAACTATTGACCTAAATTTAAAATTAAATTACACACACACACACACGCATACACACACATGGGTGTGCATGCAGGCACTAAAGAAGGCCACATTGTTCCAATCCAAATACAGTGATTATCATCCACAAAGAAGACACCCCTTGGGGTGTCTGAAATTTACAGGGAAGACAGCTGAGCTCCCAGCAGGCATAACCCATCTGAAGATGTCTTCCTACAAATATCACAGGTACAAAACAATATTGCCTCGCTGTTGAAATTTGACTGCCTGCTGCAATGAAAACACAGGCCTCTGTGAACACTGAATTGAGGATAAAGGACAAAATGTTTAAGTTTATTATACTTTTTATACGTGGATGTTTTGAGACAAAATTATAAAGTTTTTTAAACAAAAATATTTTAAAGCATTGAATTGAGTCCAAATATAGAAAGAAATAGGTCATGAATATCACAGTTTACGTTTATAATTTTTATAAATATTAAAGAACACATATCTTAGGAACATAATGATTTTTATACAATCATTTCTCATATTAATAATTAACTTGATCTCAGTTAATCTGGTATGTCAAGTCAATCTATGCACTGTATCAGGAGAAGACTACAGCCAACAATATTAGATAAATGGAATATACACTTAGTGTATGTTCTATAGGGAGAAAAAGCCTTTATAAAGCTTAAGACTCTTTTTTTGAGACAGAGTCTTGCACTGTTGCCTGGGCTGGAGTGCAGTGGCACGATCTCAGCTCACTGCAACCTCCGCCTCCTGGGTTCAAACGATTCTCCTGCCTCAGCCTCCTGTAGCTGGGATAACAGGTGACTGCCACCACACCCAGCTAATTTTTTTTTTTTTTTTTTTTTTTTTTTTTAGTAGAGACGGAGTTTCACTATGTTGGCCAGGCTGGTCTCAAACTCCTGACCTCATGAGTCGCCCAACTTGGCCTCCCAAAGTCCTGGGATTACAGGCGTGAGCCACCGCGCCCAGCCAAGCTTAAGACTCTTGAATCAAATATTAGTAGCAACTTAAAGCAAAATTGTTTTGCTAAGCATAAGCAATGAGAATGCCTGCTCACCAGGAACTCAAATATATTTCAATACATTTATTTTGTTATTTATTTATAGAAATAAATGACGGCATTGAAGATAAAAGTAATTGTGGATAATATATCTCTATTTCAGTTTTCCTTTTAACTATGAATTACTTTTAAACAATGAATATATTTAATTTAACTCAATTTTAGTTTGGTCATGAATGCTAAATATCCATATCTGAAAGTCTGCTCTAATATGTATTCATTTCTTTGCTGTTCCTTAAATACTTGGATTATTCTCCCACCTCAGGGTGCTTGCATCTACTATTTTCTCTGTCTGGAATGTTCTCTCTGACATCAGGGTGGTTTATTCTCTCACTTGCCCTATGCCTTTTCTTAAGTATCACACTGTTAGTGAGTCCTTCCAATGTGAAAGAGCAAATTATGCTTGTTTCCTCCATCCACATTTCATATTTCTCTTATCATTTCTCCACAGCACTTACTACCAACATACACACACACACACACACACATATACTTTTAAAATTTTATACATACAGACATATATATATGCTTTTTTAAATTCTATTGTCATAAAAGCAGGATTATTAGCTATTTTATTCACCACTAAATCTTGAGCACCTAAAGTGATACCCACATGTAGTGATAGCTCAGTTAATGAATCTTAACAGGGTCAGAAGCAACTCGAATGTTCTCTGATAGCTTCAGCATTACTTAATGGCAAAATCACAGCCATAACCAGAATTAGTACCAAAAAATTCTTCTGTTTAAATACAGTAAACAAGATTTCTGCATAATCCTGTTATGGAATCTATATAATTGTATCGTTCTATATAAAGAAAAAAGGGTTATTATAGCACCAAAGGAAAGCCATTTACAATTTTATTCCCCGAAGAATGCAAACTGTAAGAGAACAAAAAGCTCTATGACCAAAACTTTACCAAGGTGGAGAAAGTATATAGCTAAATCAACAGAATGTTATAAATATTAAATTTATTTTTATATTAGCAAAGAAATTATTATTTTACAAGTGAAAATTATACACCAATCTATAGCTTGAGACTCCATAATTTAAAGGCAGGTCACCTATACATGTAGCCCACAGTAATCACTGGGAATTTTTGCTTCTCACTGACTTGAACTTCTGAATTGGATAATAAACATCTCTATGAGATAAGAATAATCACGATTACTGGAGCACTCTCTATGTTCCAGGAGCTGTGCTTGCACTGGCCACTGTCCCAAAACAATTCTACAAAGTAGGTATTACTTTCCCATTTTTATAGATTAAAAAAAAGAGAGAGCTACTAGAATTTTTGCGCTGAATTAATATTGAAGTTATCAGAGGGCATTTGGGTACCTTCTGACCTTGTGGTTACATTAATTCTTTTAAGATTTATTAATTGAGAAACCATTACATGCAGACATTGCTTAGGGACTTAGCAATGAATAAAAGAGGTAATGATCCTGATACAAATAAGTGATTTAATTAATAAATAAGTGGGTGGAGAAGTGCCAAATATCCTTTACAGAAAAATTCTGAATTATCTATGTAAATATTCTCTCTAAGGATTTGAATCTTAACTCTTATTCATTGATTGTAGACTAAGTGTATTGGCTTATTGATTTGCTTCTAAGGAGTAGAGTGTGGAAAGTGAGGAGAGGAGAAAGAGTAACTTTACAGTGGAGAAACCTGGCAACACTAACTCAGCTAGGTGATCAAGGTCAACATTATTAGTGATGTCATGCCAATAACAAGTGCGCTTGACATGGTGAGATGAGAATGGCATCTCACCTTTGTGATCTTCCTCCTCAAAATACATAACCCTGGTCTAATTATGAGAAAAGCTTTAGATAAATCCAAATTGAAGGACAGTGTACAAAATACCTGTCCAGTACTCAACACTGTCAAGGTCATCAAAAACAAGGAAAGCCAGAGAAACTGTCACACAGGAAACAAAGGAGATTTGATAGCTAAATGTAGTGTGGTATGCTGGATCAGATCCTTGAACAGAAAAATGGCATTAGGGAATAATTAGGAAAATCTAAATAAAGTATAGAGTTGAGTTAATAATAATGTATGTTAGTTGTAAAAATGCACCATAGTAACATAAAATATTAACAATAGGAGAAACTGGGAAAGGAGTAGACAGGAACTCTCTGTAATATCTAGCAACTTTTCTGTGAGTCTAAAACTATTTAAATGCTTTTTAAAAATATATACTTACACACACACATACACACACACACACACACATTCAGCCTCTTAAACAAAAATGCAAAGAGGACATGCCCCCATTTCTGACCAAGCACATTTACTACTCTCCTAACAAAAAAAATGAGGCAAAATGGACCCCAAGATATTCAAACTGGAACCACCATGGAGGATAGTGTTTTACCTTGGATGAGTGAGGATGGCTTTACCGGCTAAGCATAAGAGAGAGACTGTAGAGTATAATTACCTGGATGAAAGATTTGGGGTTTTCTAATTTCAGGGATGGATGGGAGCTTCAAAATCTCAGCTTAACATTAGAACGTCAGGGAAGCTTTCTTTCTTGTGCGTGAGAAAAGGCTCATTAAGAATTTCTGTTACTGGAGGTGAAAATCAGAAGGGGTTACTTTGGAGATATTGGAAGTAGTCTACAAAATAAGCCAGCTATGGGAGCAGTAAACCACAGGAAAACAATTGCCAGAGATGCCTTTAGGGTGCAGGGGCAGAAAAGCTTATCTGCTCAGTGGAATGTGATCGAGTAGTCTGAGGGATTGATTCCTGACTGGGGAGACCAAGGCACCAAAGGCTCTGGTCTCCAAAGTGCCATATGAGCATTGTAGGCCTCAGGTTTAAGAGGTTTTGCCGTTGTAATTAAATATCAAAAAACGCATGAACAATGTTTGCTAGTTACAGTATGTTTTTCCCTTTGTGGAACAAGCTAGTGAACTTTTATCCCCTCATAATATAAATTTGCAATCTATGTTCCTGAAACCTTGAATGTAAAGATTCATATATAATTCTCAATTTAAGAGAAGCCCAAACATGGAAATGGGTTATGCAAAGCAGTATTATAAAGAGTAAATTCAATTTTTGCCTTGATTATTTTGTGTCTCTTGCCATGTCTACACTGATCAAAAGAAAAAGTGGAACTTCTTTTTTCCTTTTTCTTTCAAAATAAACTTTGTCCTTCTGAAAAAGAGACACACACTTCAGGCAAAATAAAAATAGGTACCTTTCTTTTGGGCACTGGCCATTTACTGCTCTTACGTATGATTGCCTTTCTCAGGTGTAATAATTTATTGCCTATTAGTTCACTATTGTGCAGGATCACTTTTCTCCCTTTGGGTGCATGGGTAACTCCATTAGTGGTAATGAACTGTGTCGTGGGTAATCACACCATTAAAACCTATCTACCTTAAACCCCAAAGCTTGAAACCCTCTCAGCTGTCAGTCCGGCAAAGAGAAAAAGAGCAATGACCTGCAAAGGTAGAGACCTGAGAACCTCTGGAGATATTAAGTTTAAGCTTAATAGTGAGTCATTAATAAATAAGATGCAGTATAATTATCAATATGAAGCACATTTAATAATTAATACCTTGCAAACAAAAAAGAAATGAAATACCGAGTGGAATTAGACAGAGGTTATATTCAGTTCCCCTTGACAATCCTGACTTGAAGGAGAATTCACAAACTGTTTAAAATTATGAAAGAGCCATTTCCCCAAAGCTCAAGAAGTGAAGCCACTTAGTAAATAGGATTCTTAACACTCATCTATCTGCGCTCTTACAAACTTTACCCATACTCGACTCTAAATGTACCACTCCTCTCATTTAATTACAACTTTTCATCTTTCAATTAAATATAAAAATGTTCGGTGTATGTGTGTGATTAATAAAAACAAGTGACAAATGTAGCTGAAATATAGCCTCTTTCATCTCTCATTTTTATGACATGGGATTCTTAGAATGGAACTTGCTGGCAGTAACTTCCAGTTTCTACTCACAATCCCAATTTTTGATAACCTATACTTTGTTGAGTAAGGGAAGAGAGCTAATATTTATTGAGCATTCACCAAAACAGATTAATTTTGCAATGGTTACCTTATGTAATTATCTAAACAAGCCTATGTAATTAAGCTTATTAACCTCAATTTTAGACCAGAAATTTGAGGCTAAGAGAGGCAAAATCACTTTCTCCAAGATTACAAGTAGTAGATTGACAATTTCATTCCTGACCTTTCTGATTCTTAAGCCTGCAGTTTTTCAATTCTGTTCCTAAATATATCTTTAAATAGGGTATGAAAGTCTTCTTGCTGCTTTGCAAATGATCATATCAAAGCAACGATGTGTTTATTTATGTAACACTTCAACCAATCACCCATATTATTTAGCAGTTTGTCAACAGGTGGGAAACCAAGGGATAATAGCATTTCTCAAGTCACTGATTTGAAAGAAAATCCAGCCATTGCACTGCATTACTGGCCAGTCAAATCTGTGATGAAAGGAAAGAATCAGGCTTTCACCATCATCAGCTCATAAACTTGGCCACGTCACCAGCCTTCCCCACTGCACTAACCCCTTTGCTCTCCTGAGAGGTTGAAAGAGACAGTTCTAATTTCTTTCTATCACTTTCAGCTTAGCATGAGCAGTTCTAGCCTTCATCATGAAATATGTTCACTTTAGGCTAAATAAAATCAGAGAGGTAACTCGGTATGTTTTAGAGTTCCCAACCGCAATGTGTCCTTTTTTTTTTTTTTTAATTCTCTTCTACTAGAAGACCAACTGCTTACCAGGATATGAGATTTTCTTAGGAATGGAATGTTTTTTTTAGTCATAATGAAGCCACACTTTTACCATCTATGCTCCCAGTGACCCCAATCTCACTTTCTCTACCAAGTGTTTTCCAGCATGCTGTGAACAGTTAGTTGTTCCATACTTTTAAAATTGAATGCCTGAGTTTATGTTTGTATTTCAGATTCTGTTCAAAATACCCCTCAATTCTATTGACATTATTTAAATTTTACAATCAAATTTTACTAAAAAACACATCTTTAAGGTAATAATGATGATAATAATTATAATACAAATAGAGCAACTGCTGTCATAAACTAGTTTATTACTTAACAAGTTTTAATAATTAATAAGTGTTAGAAAAATGACAGAATGCTTACTATCATTAGTGATTTCTTTCTCACTGAATTGAGCAATACAAGGAAGCCTTAGGTTTCAGAAATTCCCCTTCCTCAAAGGTCAGACAGGCAGGTATCATCATCTACTATGACCTAAAGGAAAATGAAAGAGAAATAAAATTGCCATGGGAAATATGAACTTGGTCTAAACTTGTCAAAAGGAATTCATCTATCCAAACAGAATTAAATTAGGATCCCCTATATACGTAGTCTCTCATAATAACAGTTGCAAAATATCACATTCAGCTAATTTCAGGAAATGCCCTCCGTGCTCTTTGGTATCTACCTGAATTCTAGTTGTCTTTCTTTCAAAGCTTCTATCATTGCATTTTCCTCCTGAAGCCATTGTTCTTACTCTGTTCCTTTCTCCATTTTGAGCTCTGTTAAATATAGGATTGTACCACAGAAACAAACATGTAACACAAACTTATTTAACATTGTAAGGCAGATAATGTCATGTGTCATTCTCATCTCTTGCCCAAGAAGCTGAGCCTCTTGAATGCAGAAATGTCTCCTTCCTATATTTCCTCACTGCAACTAGCAATGAGCTAGGCACATGTATTATACTCAATAAGTGCCCATAAACTGACGACTGGGTGAATATTAAATGATCCTCTGATGTTATTGTATGTTTCACTTTGAGCATGTTTCATCATTTGTTATTCTCTTAGTGTGTTTTATTTCCTTTTAATTTATGTTCTGATGTATATTTCTGAACCTGATATGCAAATGCTCTTTCCTTTCCTCTTGATCAATCCAAAAGTAACATTTCATTAAAATCCATCCTTAAATCCAGCCTCTTCCAGGAAGTCTCTGTGATACACCTGTGAGTATTGCTTTCCCCTTCCACAGTCATGATTTCAATGACACTGGCGTGTTCTTAAACATCATTGCCTCACACTATTCTTCAGTGTTTTCTACCACACTTTTTTTCTTTTTTGAGACAGAGTCTCTTCTTTGGGTATCTTCATTTATTTATTTATTTATTTTCTTTCTTTAGAGACAAGGTCTCACTCTGTCACCCAGGCTGGAGTACAGTGTCAAGATCATAGGTCACTGCAGGCTTGACCTCTTGGGGTCAAGTGATCCTCTCACCTCAGCCTTCTGAGAGGCTGGGACTCAGTGACTTGGAGAAGGTGTGGGGAAGAGAGAGAGAGAGAGAGAGAGAGAGAGAGAGAGAGAGAGAGAGAGAGAGAGAGAGAGAGAGACTGTGTTGTAACAGGCATGCTTTTCAGTTGCCAGCCCAATCCCCTTTCCTTAGTAAGAGTCTCCTCTACCCTTCAGCATCAGCTCTTATGGCCCCCCTCAACTCTTTATCTCTTAGTTTCTCAATTTACAATTAATTTGATGAGAATAATAAATTATTTCCTGGCCAGTAAAGAAACTGAATGAGGCAAACATCATTAGAGCTTAATTTAACAAATTAGTGTTCAACTGTGTTGACCCTAAGCAATGACGAGTCCCGGGCATAATAACATGCTGTGTGAATTCTGATGGTGTCTCTCTGTGACTCACAGTCATCACTGCTTCTTGTTGCTCTAGTTGAATCTATTCTTTACTGGCACCCCTTCCAGTTCCTCATAGGCCTGTGGTGCTTTATGTTTTCCACAGCACTGAAGTAAGTTGGAAAAGTCAGTGACATTTCCACAAAGCTTTATGAATAATCAAAAGGGCGAGTCTCACGTCCATGTCTCTTGATTCTACGCATGCTGTTTTCCATGCCCCCTAATCCTGTCCCTTCTTATTCCTTTGCTTCCTCCTGTTTCCCTGTTAAGACTCCCCTAAGACACCTTCTTTTGCAGAAAGTCTTTGCTGACCTCCCAGGCTAGCCTTGCTCTTCTGTCTCTCTGCCTCTGTGTCCTGTGCATCCATCATGGTACTCACTACCTCGGTAATTGCCTGTTTACTTGTCTATCTTCCAAAGCATTCTGTCACCCACATTGAGAGTTCTCTCTAAGTGTATACTTAGAGATGTCTTTAACATCTGTGTCTCTGCTAGAAAGCATTAGGGTGCCTGATAATATAAATTTGAATGAATGAATGAATGAAAATTTGAAGGAAGGCATGAATGAATACCTGTATTCATGAACAGCTATCTCCCTTTGTCTCACAGTCTAGGCTCCTTAGCCTGGTCCCCAGATTTGCCCCCTTCTTCCTTTTCATCTTCATCTCCTGTAACTTTTCTCAAGTTGCCCTGGTGATTCAAGTAGTCCAGTCATCCAGGACTTAACCTTTCTCACTTAAGCCTTGTAGTCTTACACCACAAGTCTGCCCTGGTCATTCTAGTTAAAATGCTTTCTGTTTTGTATGCAGTGAAAATCAAGGTTAGGCTTAAATGTTGCTGCCTGTATGTTCCCTCAGCATTTTGATCATAACACTAATTTAGCACAGATTACATTGTATCCTGGCTGGTGATCTATCTATCTTTCCTGCCACACTGAACCCTTTCTTTAATGATCAAGAGCCATTTGGTTTATCTTTGTACCTTCAAGGAGATTAAATAATTTGCTTAAGATCGTAAAACTGGCCAAAAAAAAAAAAAATGCAGGCAAACCCAGGTATTTTGCCTCCAAATCCAGTACTCTAAAAATATTTCTTCTGAACATCTCTTTCTCTTTCACACTGGCTTAAGAATTTTATTACTTTTACTCATATACAAATACACACATACATACATACACATATATTTTTCTTTGTATCTTCTTTTCAAATACATGTCTCATAAAACTCTGGAAACAAATAAATGTAGTTGGTAAATGCAGAGACCCTTATTAGGGAAAATTCTGAATGGAAAACCAGGTACCAGCATATATTCCCAAAGTTATGCAAACTTCTGTCGTAGTATTTACCATGATTAGGCAGCCTCTTTTGCTGTTATTTCCTACTCCTAAATAGTTTAAGTTCTGATGAATGAGATAAAGACTAATGAAGGCCAAATAAATTGCTTTAATATTCCTACATTTGAAAAAAACCTTTTGAAAATTCCTATATGAAAACCAATTTTGGAGGAGAAACTGCCTGTCAAGCTATAATGAAGCCCAACCAACTGGCCAATCTCTGGTATATTTCTAGGCTGTGTCTCCAGACCTCTTTCACATTTGCTGACAGCAGTTCAAATACTCAACAGAGTGCCCTGGGGGCAGGAGTAAGGGAGGGAGGACTTATTTTAAGTAGGCCAAGTCGGCTTGAAATAAGTGCAGTCTGATCATAGGTCTTGGAATTTGGGGCTTTCTGAACTGTAATCCTAGCTCAGACACTGATCCCTCCTGTGACCTAGGATAAATTACTCAACCTTTTTGCCTTGGTTTCCAGATCCCCTAAATAGGGATAATAATCCTGACCTCAGAAGGCTAGCGTATGAATTAAACATCTGCAAGACCTGATCTTAACGACAGGCGAATGAAGCATCTCATTCTTGCAATATAATAACTTTTTCAACTCAATTTAACAAGAACTATTTCTGCTAAAGAAGCAAAAGGTGGCTGATTCTGGTATCTAACCAGCCTGAAATTGTTGATGCAGCCTCAAAAGGAAATCAGACTCATAAATGAAAAAAACTTGAGGCTGAAAACAAAACATTAACAAAATGTTGATTTTACCCCAAACCACCATGCCTGGTTGGTTCTTTTGCTGTAACAAGACAGTTTCGAGTTTGGCCTTCCTGAGCATTGGGATAGTAGTTAGCTTTCCTGAGCACTGCTCTCCCAAGGTAAGCCTTATCAGTATATTTCTGTTGCTTATTTCAATAGTTTGAAGATATATTTAGTTGAAGAAAGATTCAAACTATGATCACTAACAACTCAAGGACAAGACTTTTTGATAACTGGAAGTTCTATCAAAAGTGATATTTTATACAAAAATTATCTGGGCATGGTGGTGTGTGCCTGTATTCCCAGCACTTTCAAAAGCCTAGGTGGGCAGATCACTTGAGCCCAGGAATTCGAGACCAGCCTGGGCAACATAATGAGACTGTGTCTCTGAAAAAAAAAATTAGCCAGGTGTGGTGACATGCACCTATAGTCCCAGCTACTCAGGAGGCTGAAGTGGGAGGATCGCTTAAGCCTGGGAAGTTGAGGCCACAGTGAGCCATGATCGCACCACTGCACTCCAACCTGGGTTGAAAGCAAGACTCTGTTTTGAAAAAACAAAATATATATATATAGAGAGAAAAGTAAGATTCTGTTATTTTAGCAATACAATTAAATATGTATAGATTAAAGTTACTTTTAGAGTAAGTGAGGAATGTGTTCTAGAACATCATATATAATTCCAAATTCATGCAGATTAAGATTAATATTTCCAAAGGAAAAAAATGTGAAAGAGGAAATGCATTCTTGGAAAGGTTGACTCCAAAACCAGCAAAATGTATCCTTACATTCCTGCTGCTTTTTCTTTTCTTAGCATTATATCTGTCTCATAAAACACAGAGTCGGCCGGGTGTGGTGGCTCATGCCTGTAATCCTAGCAGTTTGGGAGGCCAAGGTGGGCAGATTGCCTGAGCTCAGGAGTTTGAGACCAGCCTGGGCAACACGGTGAAACCCCATCTCTACTAAAATACAAAAAAATTAGCCGGGCGTGGTGGCGTGTGCCTGTAGTCCCAGCTACTTGGGAGGCTGAGGCAGGAGAATTGCTTGAACCCAAGAGGCGGAGGTTGCAGTGAGCTGAGATCATGCCACTGCACTCCAGCCGGGTCGACAAAAAAAACCCAGTCTGTCCTAAATTAACAATAAAATAGAACATGGTCAGTATTTGTCTTTGAATTAGTATCTATTCTGTGTAACAAACTACCCCAGAACTTAGTGGCTTAAAACAATAATATTTACTATCTCACATATCTGTTGGTCAGAAATCTGGGCATGGCATAACTGGGTCCTCTGGCCCAGGGTCTTGCACAGTCATGATGCAATCAAGGTGTTAAAGAAGTTGCAGTCATCTCAAACCTCAACTGGGGGTCAGCTTCCCCGCTCACTTGGAACTTGGTTGCTGGCAGGATACAGTTCTTCATAGGCTATTAGACTGGGCCTCAGTTCCCCACCAGCTATTGGCCCGAGGCCACTCTCAGCTCCTTGCCACATGGGTCTTTCCATAGGGCAGCCCATAACGTAGCAACTCATCTTACCAAAACACACAAGCAAAAAGTGCTGAAGAGAGAGAGAGAGATGGAATATGCCAACAAGGCTGAAGTCAATCTCTTGTAAATTAATATCAGAGGCGACATCCCATCCCATTTGCCATAGTCTATTGATAGAAGTGAGTTGCTAGCTCCAGCTCACACTCAAGGGAAGGAGATTACACAAGGCTATAAATACCAGAAGGCGGAGGTGATCATTGGAGGCCATCTTAAAAGGCTACCTATGGCTGACTTCTGCATACTGTATACTACACCTAACTTCCTTTCCAACATTCCTGAGAGTCAAGAGTGTTTTTTAGTATTAGCATATGCTTTATTTCCCAGTAAATACTTGTATGACATTGCTATAAGATGTTTAAAAACTCTTAAAGATAACAGTATATGTTAAAAAAAAAAAAAAAGGACAAGAGTTAAGCAAATCATTCGGAGATGTGTCACTAACGGTCTGGGGGTCTGTGTAAAGGACAAGGCAGCATTATCCTGTGACAAGAGCAACGACTTGTTTTATAATTCCTTCAGACTGATTCCATGGCTCTCACATAATGCAATTCTTAAAAATTCGGGGGAAAAAAGCTTAGATTTATTTTAAAGCATTAGTTCATGCCCATAAAGTGAGATTTTTACTAACGTGCTATGTCACATTATCTCAAGCTTATGTAAAATATGACCACATTCTATGTCTCTGTGACTATGTAAATAGTGACTATGTGAATGCTTGTAAAAATAAGGCTTATATTCCATATATGTCACTGTGTGAAATGTTTTTGAAATTTAATCCATTAGCTCATTTGGACCATGGTGTTAATTCAAAGTCATATGCTTGATATTCATGTAAGTTTTCTAGTTTTGCAAGAGAAAACATTGTTGCTAAAATTCTTATCCTCCTCTAGGTTGGTTTCATATATATACACACACACACACACACACACACACACATATACACACATAGACATATATGTATATATACCTAAACACGTACATATTTGTACAACATATGTATATTTGTGGGCATATAAAGATTGTGGATAGATGGGGAGAATTTATCACCACCCTTATGAAAACAACTCAAGGTACATTACCTTCAAAAAGAGGGTCAACATCATGATTTATATATTCCTCCTCAACAGTCATCATTTGTTTGCAAAGAAAGTGGTTATCTGAGAATACCCATTCTACTTTTTTTCTGATATTGGTGAATATGAATTTGATTAGAAATGCTACTTTTAATATGTTTGCTTAGAGTCCTGTTACAGTTGTGACAGATACTTTTACTTTTCAGTAAATTCTTTTTTAAAAAAATTTTTCCTTCACTCTGAAATGTTTTATACTTGTTATTTCCAAATTTATGGCTATGTAGATTGCTTTCAGCTTAGTGATCTGAAATAAGATGTATTACAAAAATGTATTTCCATTTCTGCGTCATCAAAGAGAGAAAATGGAGAAAAACAGAAAGTTCATTTTTTTCTCCAAATTTTGTGTCTATGATTAATGAGCTGCTGACTTTGTGGAGAAGGATTCCCCTCTCCACAAGGGTTTCAAAGCATTGTTTGTGCATCCAAAAAGCAGAAGCTCACTCTGAATCCAAAGTTTCAGCTGTTTGAACTCAATGCAACTCATAGTGTGTTGAGGAACAGTAACTAGAAAAAAGAGAAATTAAGCTAACCATTTCTCTCTCCTTTTCACTTGTCAGACTACATCTGTTTAGCCTTGACATTAAATTTCAAATGGGGTATTGCTACATTAAAATGCCAGTGGTCAAAACCCAACGGGAAACAAAGTGTTGTAAAAGATAGCTGAAGAATCTGTAGATGTATTCATTTGCTAGGGCCGCCATAACTAAGTTCCATCACAAACCGGCTCGCTTAAACAACAGAAATGTTTTTTCTCACAGTTCTGGAGGCTAGCTATCTGAAATCAAGATGTTGACAAGATTGGTTCCTTCTGAAGGCTGTGAGGGGAGGGTCTTTTGTCTGTTCCAGGCCTGTCTCCTAGGCTTGTAGATGGTGTCCTCCCTGCAATTTCATATCACCTTCCCTATATGCATGTTTCTGTGTTGAAATTCACCCTTTTTATAAGGAAATTTGTCACGCAGGATTAAATTCCACCTTATAACCTTACTTGAGCTTGATTACCTCCGTAAACACCCTATCACCAAGTAAGGTCACATTCTAAGGTACTCAGGTGTGAAGTCTTCAACACATAAATTTTTAGGGGAAACAATTCAGTCCATAACATTGTCTTATTCCATTCAGTCTAACATAACAAAATATCACAGACTGGGTGTTTTATTCCTCACACTCCTGGAGTCTTAAAAGACCAAGACCAAAGTGCCACTAGATCTGGTGTCTGGCGAGGGTCCTCTTCATAGATGGCTGTCTTTTCACTGTGTCCTCACATGGCAGAAGAAACAAGATACTTCTCTGGGGTCTCTTTTATAAAGGCACTAATTCCATTCATGTAGAAATGTTTTACAGGGTATATAATAACGATTTTCAAATTTCTGAAAGACTGTGCTGAAAAAGAGGGATGAGATTTTTCTGGGCTGCTCTAAAAGACAAAACTAAAATGAATATATAAAATTAGGGAAGTAAAAACTGTCATTAATATAAACAATACATTATTTGAGAACTTGTATATTTCGTAAGAAAGGCTTTGGATTTTGCAGTCATTGAGACAATAATATAAAATCACATCACCAATAATTGCTAGCAGATGAGGACTTATGTTTTTGCCTTCTCTCAGTCTTGGCTATTCCCTTTTAGTAAAATGGGGGTAATAACAGTTTTCATATGATTGCTGTGAAAGCTATATGAGATTATGTATATTTGACATCTAGCACTGTGCTCAGCCCAGATTACAACCTTAGAGAAGATTATTAATATTACTATTACTATTTTGAGTTTTCTAATTATTCTGAAGTAAAGAGACTATTTCAAAGAATTAAAATACTGGGTAGAGGGCCACTTTTCACAGATATTACAGCAATTCTTAAATTGTTTGGAGGTCAAATAAAGGATTTTTAAAAGTGACTTATACATTAATATTTTATGGTTCTAGAAGTAGATGAGAAGCTGAAAGTAGATTGAGTAGCCTAGGTTTTATATCTTCCCCAAACCCCCACCCCCACTAGACAAAAACTAGAGTTTCTATTGCTTACTTTGGTTGTATCATTCCTCAACTACTTAATTTCATAACTTGTAGCAATATTTCCCGTCATTGTTTGATTAATGTTCAAAAATGCCTGTACAAACACCAACATCAATTTTAATATAATCTTCAATGTCAAATATTATCACAAAAACAGCACTGAATATTCAACTGTTGCAGCTCCTTGAAACTGAATGAATGCCCCTAAATACAAATCTGTTGTGGGTTTATTGGAATAAGTACAAATTAATCTCTTCCTCATAAAAGGAAATACAGAGGATCCATCATCCATCCATTCGTTAATTCCTAAGTCATCAAGGTACACCCTGTTGTGTGTCCTGAGACTGCTAGGCATTGGGAATACAAATACTTAGCAGTCTCAGGGCACACAACACGGTATACATCAGGGAAAGTGCCATCTTGCAGGAGTTTTCAGTTTAGTGGAGAAAACATCCAGGTAGACATTTGTTTATTAAAGTGTTACTGCAGGTGATACGGTTTGGCTGTGTCCCCACCCAAGTCTCATCTCAAATTGTAATCCCCATGTGTTGGAGGAAGGACCTGGTGGGAGGTGATTGGATCACAAGGGCGGACTTCCCCCTTGCTATTCTCATGTTAGTAAGTGAGTTCTCGGGAAATACGGTTGTTTGAAAGTGTGTGGCACTTCCACATTTGCTCTCTCTCTCCTGCTCTGCCGTGGTAAGACGGACTTACTTCCTCTTTGCCTTCTGCCATGATTTTAAGTTTCCCGAGGCCTCTTAGTCATGCTTCTTGTTAAGCCTGTGGAACTGAGTCGATTAAGCCTCTTTTCTTCATAAATTACCCAGTCTCAGGTAGTTCTTTACAGCAGTGTAAAAATGTACTAGTACAGCAGGTTACTAAAATGGGCACTTAGCCACAACTTTGATGGTCAGGAAGGGCTTGGCACAAGAAGTGTTGCTAAGCTTAGACTACATGGTTAGTAGTTCACAGGTAAAAAGGAGGAGGAAAGAGTGCTCTGGAAAATAGAAAACTATATGTGAATGTTCAAGAAAGAATATGCATCAAAGAAGGAATTAACCTGGAGTGAGAAGGAACACGATGTGGTGGAAAACTGCATGAGCCCAGAGTCAGGAGACCTTCTGTAGCCATTAAGTAGTGATGCCCATTTCCCATCCGTGAATGCAGGATGCACTGTATAACGCTAAGAATGCTAGCCAGCTTTAGTGTTCATATATTATTTAAGATCTCTTATGCAAATTTTTAAAATGATCACACTCTTATAATGAGATATGAAAAATAGATTGGGGATGACTAGATGTTGAGCTGCTAAAAGCCAAATCTATTTTTTTCTCATCTTTGCAATAACTCAAAGTGCCTAGCATGGTGAAATTATGTAAAATTGAACCAAGATATGCTTCTCTATACAGAAGGAATTTAACATGGAGTCACTCCACAAGTACTGGTTTTTCCAATGGAGAAATGAATAAGAATGGACTCGTTCTGTTAAGAGGAAAGCTCAATCTCCCATGGTGCAGAATGAAGCTGTCTGTGAAGTGCTCTGCAGAGTACTCAAACCGGAAGCCAGATCACGGAGGCCTGGCGTACCTGCAGCAGTGGCTCTCAAACTATTTTACCCCAAAATAAACTTGGTGATTTGTTTAGAATACAAGTTCCCTTGTTTTAGCTTCCTACAGTCTAATTGTGTTGCCCCAGGCAGAAGCGCATGAGTCAGATGTACACTCAAGTTTCATTGCCAGAACCACCAAGTCCTTGCCCCTGACGTTGGGTCTTTCCTGTGTTTTCAACCTTTCGTCTCACTTTAAACCCTACCTCAATCCTTGCTTCAACCACGTGGAAGTGGCTCAAACATACCAGTTTATTCATGCCTCCATGCCTTTGTTATCAGCCCTCCCTCTATTTTAAAATGCTCTTGCCCTTAAAATGCAGTGTTCTGTTTCCCAGGTAACTGCCCACACATATTTCAAGACTCATCTATTTTAAATTTCTTCTCTGCCTTTCTTGTTTAGACTTGACCGCTCACTCCTTAGTGTCTTTACTTTAACCCTGACCTGTGATGTAACCTATAAAACATTTCTCCACTTATTTTTTATACATTTCTTTCTTCTCTATTACAGTATTTGATACGATAAGCACTTAATAAATGTTTGCTAAATGGATAAATGCATGAATGTATGAATGAATGAGATACATTCTAAAACAGTGCCTAAAGCATGGATTCTGCAGTTAGACTGCCTGGTTTCAAATCCTTTCTCTATCACTTACCAGGTGTATGAATTTAGGAAAGTTACTTTAAGCCTCTGTCTCAGTTTCTCAATTATAAATGGGAATGATAATATAGTATCTGCCTCATGTAGCTGTTAAGAGGTTTTAAATAAACTAATATTTGTAAAGCTGTAAAGCACTTAAAAGAATGTCTGGAACATAGTGTTATCAGCGTTTATAAAATAAACGAATATACTACAGCAAAGATGATGAATGTTTAAATTTATATCTAGAAACAGAGATTGAGAGCAGAGACAAATCCACAAGACGTAAGAAGAAAAAAGTGATGGGCTTGATGATTGAGGAAGAAAAAGGACTGGAATGAAGTCTTGGGATTCCAATGGTCACTGGAAGGGGTCGGCAAGCTTCTTCCATTAATTCATTGCCTTTAATTATTTGATCATAGGAAAGGAGAGTCTGGCCTTGTGGAAAAACACACAATCAGTTTCATTAGAAAAGAGAGAGTCAGATGTTTTTAAAACAGCAACAACAATATGCCCTGAATAGTAGAGAAACAAAAGAGCGATTGATCTACAAAGGCAAGACCCAGATTGAGACCACAGTGAACCCTGCAAAACAGAGGAGCCCCTGGGTGGGAGGGGATATAACTGGAACTCTGGGAATGTAACGGGCATGGTGTGCTTGTCTGATGGACAGGGCAGCTTAGGGGAATAAGTCTCTGCAGCGTTGTAGTGAAGAGAGAATACGGGACAACTGCAGGACCACAGCTCAGCCAAGAGTAAGCATAAATTTAAACATATTTCTTGATTTCTCTAAAGTCTCTCTTTTCTGTTAAATACAAATAATAATGCATGCTTCATTCAGCAAGTTATTGTGAGGACTAAATGAGACAGTATTGAAGTTACTATGTAACAGTAAATAAGGTACAGATAATCCTCAGTACAAGCACGATAGTGTGGGACTGCAAAGATGATTGCGCAAAGCAATCTTAATAATCAATGAGAAAACTAATGATTGGGCCTTGGCCTTTAAAAAGTTTTGCCAAAACATCAAAATCTTTCTTGCTGTCATTGACAAAGGTACAAGCAAATAAAAATAGTAAAACTAATACCTAGTACAATATAACTTAAAACATGAGAAATGTTTAAAACTGAAGTTACTTTTCATAAAAACTTATCAAAAGTAGTTTAAACCATGCTTGCCTCCTTGTCATGTAACTAACAATGTGGAGCACCATCTTTCTTTACGCACTGGCGAATTATCATACGCTTTTCTAAGTTCGGATCGGCTTCCCGCATTGTATTCTTCGTTCTTTCAGTGTCTTGAAACACCTCCAAGAGTTTTTTCTAACGTGAAAATTTTCTGCCAGCACTACTTCCTCTAGGACATCTTCATTCTGTTCATCACAACTACCTTTCTCATTTATGTTAAGTTCTCTTTTAGTAAATTTCTGTGGCCTCATACCTAGAAACTGAAATGACAGCAATGTCAATATTCCATAGTCAGCTGTCTTCTTATCGGATCTAATTTCACATCCAGCATTATTGCTTTTCATTTCTTGGCTGCACTTTCGTCTGTTGCACAATTCCTTCTTTTAATCATCCGTTTTGTAAAATGTCATGTGAGTTTATCATGGGAAGACATGGAGGCAACACAATTACATGCTTTGCTGGGTGGTAACTGAGTAACAGATGTGCAGTAGCCATACTGAGGTGATCCGTCACTCATCATGATGTGCATCTGATATTTATGTAGTGATTTCTGAACTGAAGTGCTATCAGTGAGGTTAGAACTTCATGAAATTGCAGTTAATATACCATAGTTAATGAAACGTGAACCATGCTATTGAGGGACTGGTGTTATTTAACTAAATCATGGTAACTGAAATGGATACATATGAATTAGCAAATTGAGAGCTGCCAGTATTTTTAATTTCACCCTTTCAATGTTCTTAATTTCTTTTTAATCAGTAAGACTTATGATTTTATGCACAGCATTGTGATGAGGATCCCCAGGTTTTGATGGTTAAGCTGCAATTTGAGTAAGAGGTTCAAAATTAGGCTTAGTTCCTAACCCCACTCTCTGCGTGATCCTCTTTCCCACACCATTCCAAACATGTCAGTGTGGCACACACCCAGGCTGAGAACCACTGCTCTAAAGCCTTCCACATAATTGAAAGTTTAGTCACTCTAGCTTTGAATTTTTCTGCTTAAAAAAAAATTAAGCTGTTAATTTAGAATTTTTGTGTCTTTGCTTTTAATTATTTCTTCTTATTTTGTTTTTGCTTATTTCATTTCCATTTGCTCATTTCATTGTAAAGAAATGGCTCTGAGAGAAATTTAAATTACCTTTGACTTTTCAGGGTATGCCCCTAGATCTCACTTCACCCCTTTTCCCTCTTTTCATCTCAAGAAACAAAATTAAGAATAAAAGTAAGGGGAGATAGTGTGAGTGAGAAAGAACAGAAATCTAGCCCCATGTAAATTAAAATGTTAAAAATAAAAAAAATCACATATTTTAAAAGGATTTTTCCATTAAACGTAGGAATTAAATAAGAATTTATGTTAGAGAACTAGGTTTGGGTAGACAAAAGCTTTCACGAAAATGTTTATTTTAGGTTTTTTTTTAATATCAAGTATTGTGAATATTTTAAATACGAAATAATAGGGAAATGGCAGAAAAAATATACTAACTAGGTGGAGTATTGCATAAATTTAGTGAATGTAAATGTTAGTTTTAAATACATTGTAGCAAGAAGAAAAAATGCAAAAGACACAATGTGAAGTGAAAAAAGTGGGAAACAGAATACTTTCCATGTAAGACAACAATGCAAGGGAGTTGATGCTTCTGCCCCTTTCCTCACAGCAGGAATGTCATTGCTCTCTCCCTCCCAGCCCTTCTCCCTCCCAGCACAAGCAACAAGATGATGCTTGGCCAATTCCTTAGAGTTACTGCTCAGAAGAAACACTGCAATGAGAAATAGTAACTGGCATGGCAAGGTCCTGTTATCTTCAGGTTCCTGCTATTAATAGAATCAAAATAGTAGACAAAACCCATCCTGATTCTTAACATAAGTTTAATAGTATGCTCCACTCTGAATTTCTAAGCCTACCCCCAACCACATCCCAAATGGTGTACCACTGTGGCCCACTGCCAGAAATAATATAATAATATTCCTCACAGCGGATCAGAGTTATACCCAGAGGAATAGAAGGTCGATCTACCTGGAATTCCTTCTCCTCTTGTTGTGGAGCAGGTTTATTGTGTGCGGGTCACCAACTTGTCTGAGTCCAGTGAGAGAAAACACCTGTGCATACAACAAGCTGCATGAAGAGACTTTTTACTACTTACAGATAGGCAGCAAGACAACAGAAGCCCGTGACACATTGTAAGCCAGTCTGCAAGGCTCAAGAAATTTGCCCAGGATAGATGGAGTGTCCTCCATGCATACCCCACTTGTATCAGCTGAGGGACCCCAGAAAGCCTCTCAACCTTGGTTTTATGCTGTGGGGCAATGAGATTTGCTGGGCTAAAACATTGAAGGTTATCTTATTTCAGTAAAGCGGGGTCCCAGAACAGAGCTCAGGCTGTTCCAGCCAGCCCTCCTTATCTCAGAATGTTGCATTCCCAGAACATTCTACAGCTGTTCTTGAGAACTAGAAATGAGAAAAGGGAGGACAATAGGGCTGGTCCAAGGCCACCCAGAGAACTGTTCTACATTTTTCCTCCCCATCTCCCTTCCCTGCCCCTTTCTCCTCCTCCTCCTTCCTCCCCCTCCTCCTCTTCTTCCTCCCCTTCTTCTTCTTTTCCCCTTTGATACCTATCTGTCCTCCTTAAAGAATTCTAGTCACATCCTGGTAGTGTCCCAGCTGGCTTGAGACCAGAGAGGTTGTCTTTTCTGATAACTTTGCATCCTGAAATGGTGAAAACGAATGCATAAATAACTGATCTTATGGGCTTTTGAAGGCATCTACTCCCCAGTGTGTTTCTAATTCTCTAGGGTAGAATGTTTACAGGAGGACAAATAAACTCCCCTCTTGATAATATTAATCCTCTTTTATAACATATCTGGATTTGTGTCACTTTTCTATTCTCCTTTTACCATGAGTGAGAAGAGAGAAGAATAAAAGGGATACCAAAATATAGGGACTGTGAAATATTGAAAGCTGAGGATTGGGAATTCATAGAAACTATTTCTCTGGATACTATTTTTTCTTACAGCACAACCACATGACTGAAGACAGAGATCATCTGGGTCAGTGTTTCAGAAAATGTTGCCAAGAAACTTCAAATGCAGATTCCTGGACCTCCGTGCAAACTACTATATTAGAAGTGAGAGTGGGGGTGAGATGGAGGAGAGGTGATATTGAGAACCTGCATTTTTTAAAACTTTTATTTTAGTTTCAGGGGTACATGTGAAGGTTTGTTATATAGGTAAGCTCATGTCACGTGGGTTTGTTTTACAGATTACTTCATCACCCATATATTAAGCCTAGTACCGAATAGTTCCTTTTTCTGCTCCTCTCCCTCCTTCAACCCTCCATGCTCAAACAGACCCCAGTGTCTGTTGTTCCCTTTATGTTCATGAGTTCTCATCATTTATCTCTCACTTATAAGTGAGAACATGTAGTATTTGGTTTTCTGTTCCTCTGTTACTTTGCTAAGGCAAATAGCCTCCAGCTCTGTCCATGTTCCCACAAAAAGACATGATCTCGTTGTTGTTTTTTTTATAGCTGCGTCATATTCCATGGTGTATATCTACCACATTTTCTTTATCCAATCTGTCACTGATGAGCATTTAGGTTGATTCTGTATTTTTGCTGTTGTGAATCATGCTTAAATAGACATTCGTGACCGGGCGCAGCGGCTCACACCTATAATCCCAGCGCTTTGGGAGGCCGAGGCGGGTGGATCACGAGGTCAAGAAATTGAGACCATCCTGGCCAACATGGTGAAACCCCGTCTCTACTAAAAATACAAAAGTTAGCTGGGCATGGTGGTGTGTGCTTGTAGTCCCAGCTACTCGGGAGGCTGAGGCAAGAGAATTGCTTGAACCCGGGAAGCAGAGGTTGCAGTGAGCCAAGATCACGCCACTGCACTCCAGCCTGGTGATGAAGCGAGACTCCATCTCAAAAAGAAAAAAAACAAAACAAAAACATTCGTGTGCATGTGTCTTTATGGTAGAATGATTTTAACCCTTCGAGAAATCACCATACTGCTTTCCACAATGGTTAAACTAACTTACATTCCCACCAACAATGTACAAGTGTTTCCTTTCCTCTGTAACCTTGTCAGCAACAGTTACTTTTTGACTTTTTATCAACAGCCATTCTGACTTGTGTGAGGTGGTTTTGATTTGCATTTCTCTAATGTCAGTGATATTGAGCCTTTTTTCAATGCTTGTTGACCACATGTATGTCTTTTATTAAAAAAAAAAGTGACTGTTCATGTCCTTTGCCCACTTTTTAATGGGGTTGTTTTTCTTTGGTAAATTTGTCTTAGTTCCTTATAGATGCTGGATATTAGACCTTTGTCAGGTGCACAGTTTGCAAGTATTTTCTTCCCATTCTGTAGGTTGTCTGTTTGTTAACAGTTTCTCTTCCTGTGCAGAAGCTCTTAAATTTAATTAGATCCCATTTTTAAATTTTTGCTTTTGTTGGGATTGCTTTTGGTGCCTTTGTCATGAAATCTTTGCCCATGCTTGTGTCCTGATTGGTATTGCCTAGATAAGAAAATCTAGAAGAAACTATAAGAAAACCCTAGAAGACACTAGGGTTTTTAGAGTTTTGGGTTTTACATTTAAGTCTTTAATCCATCTTGAGTGAATTTTTGCATACGGTTTAAGGAAGGGGTCCAGTTTCAATTTTCTGCATATGGCTAGCCAGTTATCCCAGCACCATTTATTGAATGTGGAGTCTTTTCTCCATCGCTTGTTTTTGCCACCTTTGTTGAAGATCAGATGGCTGTAGATCTGTGGCCTTGTTTTGGGGCTCTCTATTCTGTTCCATTGGTCTATGTGCCTGTTTTTGTTATCAGTATCATGCTGTTCTGGTTACTGTAGCCCTGTAGTATAGTTTGAAGTCAGGTAGTGTGATGCATCCAGCTTTGTTCTTGCTTAGGATTGCATTGGCTATTAGGGTTCTTTTTTGGTTCCATATGAATTAAAAAATTTTTTCTAGTTCTCTGAAGAATGTTGTGGGTAGTTTGATAAGAATAGCATTGAATCTATAAATTGCTTTGGGCAGTATGGC